>NC_000006.12:104919274-105070790 GCF_000001405.40 Homo sapiens
CAATAATATTTGTTCAATCATTTCAAGTCCCTCAAAGATTGGTTAGAGTGTATTTAAATGACAACACTGTATTACCTTTAAAAATATTCTTTCTGAGCTGTGCCAGTGGCTTGCGTCTATAACCCCATCTACTCAGGAGACTGAGGCAGGTGGAATTGCTTAAGCCCAGGAGTTCAAGGTTGCAGTGAGCTATTATTATGCCAATGCACTCCAGCCTGGACAACAGAGAGAAACCCCTTATGTGGCAAAAATAAATAAATAAAATAAAATAAAAATCCTTCTAGTAGGCTTCCTTTCCAGATAAGATGGCATAGACTTGTACTTCTTTGTTCCTGCCAAGAACAACTATAAACCCTGGAAATAATGCATGATGCAACCACAGGAGCACTCTGAAGTTAAAAAGTGGAAGGCAGGCTGGCTAAGAATATGAGAGGTGAGGAGCAGCACAGTGGCCAGGTATCTTATGATCCTCTCCACTCAGCAGCAGAAGACAGCCCAGTCCCTGTTTTTCATGAATTCTAATCTAGTAGCAGAAGATGGCCCAAGTAGGGTTATTCCTCCCCTGGATTTAATAGGACTTCCATTGACAAGAGGGATAGAGTAGAAGCTCTTTTGACAAGTCACCCTGGGAAACTACTTTTTCTTCCAGGGGGCTGGACACTTCCTTCTCCCATGTACAGGCACAGGTGGCCTGGACTGGGGAAGTGCCTTTTGTCCCCACATGAGGTAACTGCAGGGATCAGTGGGAACCCTGGTGTCATCAGAGGAACTAAGCAGATCAAAATAGCACAGCAAAGGCCCTGAAAACAAAATTAAATTGTCATTGGAACCGCAGTCTACAATTAGACCAGGACCTGCAAGCTAAACATATGCAGAGTGACTGCTTGCTAAAATAGAAGATTTAAATAGGACCCAAAATTTCCTAACACAATAGCCCAAATGTCCAGGATACAATAGAAAGTCGCCTATCATACTAGCAGCCAGGACAGTCATAACTTAGATGAGACAAGACAATTACATTACACCAACACTGAAACGTATCAGATGTTTGAATTATCTGACGTGGATTTTAGAGCAGCCATTATAAAAATGCATCAACAAGCAATTATGATTTCACTTGAAATGAGTAAAAGTATAGAAAATCTCAGCAAAGAATAGAAGTTAAAAAATCAAATGGAAAATAGAAAACTGAAAAATACAATAACCAAAATTAAAAACCCACTGGAGGTGGGGTGCAGTGGGTCTTTGGGAGGCTGAGGTGGTTTGATCGCTTGAGCTCAGGTGCTCGAGACCAGTCTGGGAAACATAGTGAAACCCTGTTTCTACGAAAATTAGCTGGGTGTGGTGGCACATGCCACCAACTACTGGGGGCCAGTGGCAGCGGGTTGAGGGGGGTGGTGGTTAAGGCAGGAGAATTGGTTGAGCCCAGCAGGTCGAGCCTGCAGTGAGATGTGACTGTACTGTGTCACTGCACTCCAGCCTAGGTGACAGAGCAAGACCTTGTCTCAAACAACACAACACAACACAACACAACACAACACAACACAACACAACACAACAGTAGATCAGCTCATAGAATCTCCAGTCAAGAATGGAGATGACAAGATAAAAGCAGTGAACTCGAGGACAGATAAGTATTATTTACCCCATCTGAACAACTGAAAAAAATCTTTTCTCTGTTGACCAGTAAGAATCTTTTATTATATGGTAAATTGTTTCCTTTCCTGATATATTAACCCCCAGCCCCATCCTGCATAGAAGCTGGGTGGATTTTGTCTCCCCTCTTTGTCCCAGTTTCAACATCACAGGGACCTAACTGTCAGTCCCAAAGCTTTCTCCAAGGGATCCTGGGACTCTAAGCAAAAAGGAAGTTTTGTAACCTGCTTTTGAGCTTTGAATTGGGTATATTAATAACCAATGCCACGCTCTCCATCCTTCCATCTCCCATCCATCAGATATTTCTTTTTTTTTTTTTTGAGATGGAGTCTCACTCTGTCACCCAGGTTGGAGTGCAGTGGCACCATCTTCGGCTCAGTGCAACCTCTGCCTCCCGGGTTCAAGTGATTCTCCTGACTCAGCCTCCTGAATAGCTGGGACTACAGGCATGTGCCACCACACCTGGCTAATTTTTGTATTTTTAGTAGAGACCATGTTGGCCAGGATGGTCTCGATCTCCTGACCTCGTGATCTGCCTGCCTTGGCCTCCCAAAGTGCTGGGATTACAGGCGTGAGCCATTGCACCCGGCCCCCATCAGGTATTTCTTATGGTTTCTCATATAAGACAACGTTGAGCTGTCCTGTCAGGACTCAGAAGCATAGCTTCCTAGCTAGAATCTGTTTATGACAATCCTTTGAGCTCTATAAGTTAGCTCTGTTGAGAAGTAAATGTTTAAATCTAAATATGTAACCCTTTATTAAAATAATGCTATAAATTAGTTATTCATTATACAAAAAGTGTTATAAAAGAAACATATCTTTTAGGTACAAATCACATTCCTGTCAGAATAAATCTTAACATTTATTAACAACTCTTTCATCTTTGGTTTTCTTTGCTACCTTTAAGAAAACTAGAAATCTTCCACTTTTGATATTTTAGACCTATTCATAATTATGTTTGCTGCCTCAATTTGTACATTCTACTCTGGGAATAGTTTTGACACCTAAAACCTTACTTTAGCTGTTTCAGCTGCTTTGCAACTTTAGGTTTTCAGAACTTAAACCAGAAGTCTGTTGTTAACTAATTAGCTCTGGCTGATTACTTGCATATTCTAATTGCCCTAGCTATCTATGCCCGAATCCACCATAATCTCTAGGACCTGAATTCTTGGCATGCCCCTCACTTGGCAGATTTGATTTCCCTCTGTTCTTAAGCCTGGCTGCTAAAGCCTCTCCCTCCTGTCTCTCTCTTCAAACCAAGAGAAAAATAGAGGAAAACATGGATTCCAACATAAAGTATGATTCTTGCCACTTCCTTCCCCTAAACACATAAGTTCATTATGAGTATTCACACCCAAAAAATTCAAAAACTAGTTAACACTATTCTAGGCAAGGTGCTAGTCTATTGAGAAAATGGCCTTAACAGCAACTTCACTTAGGCATTTCCCCAAGTCTTTCTTCCTGCCTGACCTATGGGTTTTGTGTTCACAATGTTTTATATGTTTTCCCCTGAGTTTACATTCTAACTTAAGGATCTGCTTCCTGCACATTCATGAGCAAACTGCTTAATACCCACACTCTACCCAAGTCTCAGTTTCTCCATCTATAAAATAAGATATTTTTTTTAGCAAGACAGGGTCCTGCGCTGTCGCCCAGGCTGGAGTGCAGGGGTGTGATAATGGCTCACTGCTGCCTTGACCTCCTGGGCTCAAGCAATCCTCCCACCTCAGCCTCCTGAGTAGCTGGCACTACAGGGGAGTGCCACCACGCCTGTTAATCTTTAAATTTTTTGTAGAGATGGTGTCTCATCATGTTATCCAGGCTTAAAATAATAATTATATTAATACCTACATCATGATTCTATAGCAAGGATCAACTGTATAACACAGTGTCTGGAATATAATAGGGACTCAATAAATGTTAGCTGTTGTCACTCTTATTTATATTACTGAAATAAATTTGTTTCTATCTTCTCTAGCTGTCAAAGTATAAATTCTGTGAGGACAGGGCATTCTTATTCATCTGTGTATATCATTTTAGAAGGCTTTACCTGAAGCTAATTGACTCTGGGTCATAGCTGCTATTGCCACCACTGTCATCCCCATTGCTGTACACTCTGTTATACTCCTCCAATTAGGTCTCCTTGCTACATGGTGTATTAAAAAAAAATCAGTAATGATAGCCTTCTAACTTTGCGAAAACCCCATACTTGTCACAGAGAATTGACATTGGGGTCCGGTAATCTTCATTTCTACAGCCAACATGTAACTTCTTGAACCATATCTTAATTCCCACTGGATGATTTCACATAATTAATTCATATAATTATACATGATCCTACAATTCTACATGATTTGCTGAATCCCTTCAAGCAACATGAACTTGTAAGCAAGGTGGACATGATAGGGAACCTGCTATGGCATCATTTTATCTCTGTTCCTGTATATTATTATTGGGAGGGAGGACATGGTCTTAAGGCAGTCGTCAGAGGCACATGCTTCTTCCACATTTACATATTCTGCCAAGCTTAGCACTCTGCCTCTGCAACTGAGATTGACTGATTTTAATTTAGGTTTAAATTTTGTAGAAATATTTACCTTTTCATATAATATATATGAATATATGTATTAATTATAAACATATACAAATACATATGCATTAATACTAATACCCAATTTAAAACTGTCTTCTAGAAACATGGCTGGAGGCTGCTTGTCCCTGTTACTACTCTCTAGGCTTGACAGGTTTGAAGCAGTGATTTCAGGTAAGTGGGTCATCCCAAGGTCTACACTTAGTGAGAAGTATTAGGAAGCTTGATTAGTTGTTGATCTAAGCCCTAGTTTTCAATCTAGCTTTTTGGTTTTAATCTCCATCTGTCTGGATTCTCTGTATATAGGATATTAATTTGTTCAGAACTGGGAAAGGGGAGAATTATTTAACACCTCACCAAATATCACGAGAAGCTAGTGACAAACCCAAGGCTAGCTAGTAAGGGAAGAAGAAAAATTGGTGTAGAATAAGAAAGTAGTAAAAAGAGAGACTGAAATAAGGACAAAAAAAATAGAAAAGAAAGATATAAATATTTTTTAATAATTACAAGTGATAAAAATAGCAATACATTGAGGAAGAGACTGGATAGACACTAATGTCTAGAATGTTAATCTTTCTTCCTTATGCTGCTTTTATTTGCAGATAAAAATAATTGACCTTTTATAACATAGAAATGTAATTATAGATATAGATCATTAAGAAACTGTCATGAACAGAGGTGGATTAACTAATGACTTTAACATCCACCCACCAAAAGTGAAAACTTTCATGGATTTTATAACTTTCTTTTTTTTTTTTCGTTTTGAGACAGAGTCTCGATCTGTCACCCAGGCTGGGATGCAGTGGTGCAATCTTGGTTCACTGCAACCTCCACCTCTAGGTTCAAATGATTCTCGTGCCTCAGCCTCCCGAGTAGTTGCGGCACCACACCTGGCTAATTTTTTGTATTTTTAGTAGAGACAGGTTTCACCATGTTGGCCAGGCTTGTCTGGAACTCCTGGCCTCAACCGATCTGCCTGCCTCGGCCTTCCAATGTGCTGAGATTACAGGCGTGAGCTACTGTGCCGGCTGTATTTTGTAAATTTTGTATAATTTTTTTTTTTTTTTTTAGACGGAGTCTCGCTCTGTCGCCAGGCTGGAGTGCAGTGGCCTGTGGCCTGATCTCAGCTCACTCAACCTCCGTCTCCTGGGTTCAAGCGATTCTCCTGCCTCAGCCTCCTGCGTAGCTGTGGCTACAGGCATGCGCCACAATGCCTGGCTAATTTTTGTATTTTTAGTAGAGACGGAGTTTTACCATGTTGGCCAGGATGGTCTCAATCTCTTGACCTTGTGATCTGCCCACCTTGGCCTCCCAAAGTGCTGGGATTACAGGCATGAGCCACTGTGCCCGGCCGCTTTTGTATAATTTATTGGTTTTCTTAAAAGTGCCCCAGAAATTATGAGTCAGGGAAATCTGATTTGAGGACAAGAAATGTAAACTTCTGTTAAGTTCCCTAGGTTATCTGGTGTGAGTGATCTGTGGAATACACTTTGAGAAACATACAGTGAGTAGTCTTAGGCTCCTCCTTTGTAAATGGAAATGACTATGCTCAATTTATAGGTTTATTATGAGATATAAATGAGATCATGTACATAGATGCTAAGAATAGAATCTGCCACCTGGTAAGGATTCAGCATATGTTAATTCTTCACCCTACACCTCTTCCTATTTTAGGAGATATTTTTTACTATCCAAGAAAGAAAACTGCTGAATTACTTTTTATTTATTAATTTATTTTTAGAGCGAAAGTCTGGTTCTGTTGCCCAGGCTGGAGTGCAGTGGTGGGATCATGGCTCACTGCAGCCTTGAACTCCTGGGCTCAAGCTATCTATCCTCTGCTTCAGTTACCCTACCCCCCAAGCAGCTGGGACTACAATACAGTCTGATATGCAGCTAGATTTACTTATGAAAAGCTTTGCCAACTGCTTAAAATTCATTTGCCACTTGCCCCAGGTCCAGGATACTGTGTCCTAATAAATGGAAATCACGATTATTATCATATTTTAATTCTGTCCCATAATTTGAGCTAACGTATTCATGCCTTATTTATCATGTATCTAAAATACCAAATACCTTTTGTACTTCAATACCAACCTCCCATGACTTAATCTTTAGGTCTGAAAACACAGCAATTTCAGTTAAGTACTAAGGGGGAACTAATGGAAGAAATGACCCTGGGCAGATAAACACTTAGGAATTCTTCACTAATTAACTGTATAACGATTTTTAAAAATCAAGAGTTTAATGTAATTTATGTTAATGCTAAAAATAAAGAAAAGCTGTGTGTGAATCTGCAATGTTTTGAGGCATCTTCCTTTTTCCTTGACATTTCAAAATATGGTACAATGAAATAAATTCAATGCTTTTCTTGAGAGATATATTCTTATGGGCAATCCTTGAAACTTCCATGAATTTTTGTTGGGGGAAAATCTGTATCTAAAACTTGAAAATGGGCTCTAAAAGCACAGACATCTTCATGCCCAACATCAGCTACAAACCTGAGGGGGGTTTCTATAGTTTAAAAAATTTTTTTTCGTTGGGCGCAGTGGCTCACGCCTGTAATCCCAACACTTTGGGAGGCCGAGGCAGGAGGATCACCTGAGGTCAGGAGTTCAAAACCAGCCTGGCCAACATGGTGAAACCCCGGCTCTACAAAAAATACAAAAATTAGCCAGGCATGGTGGTGGACACCTATAATCCCAGCTACTCAGAAGGCTGAGGAAGGAGAATCGCTTGAACCTGGCAGGTGGAGGTTGCAGTGAGCTGAGATCCCGCCATTGCACTCCAGCCTGGGTGACAGAGCGAGACTCCATTTCAAAACCCAAACAAAACAAAACAAAAATTTTTTAATGTTTTGAAATATGTTATCTCATATGTTGTGTTTATGACAAAAGTTAAAAGCAGACGACTCCAAGTGATTCTTTCCAGACTAAATAATGATTATACAACAGAACCATCAACCATATGCCTCTGTACCTCTTAAAATTTAAAACCTCTAACATTTATTATTTCACATATATCTTTCAGTTGATCAGGTGATTCTTCCGGTCTGGACTGGCTCACCTTATAGCTGGATGCTCTTGGAAGGCTTTATTCGCTTTTGCGGCAGTTGGCAAGCTGATTGATCTAGGGGAATCTCAGCTGGGATGCTTCATCTTTGCTGCACATGTTCTCTCAACCTCTAGCACTTCGAACTTCTTCTTCACGTGGTAGTCTCAGGTTCCACAGAGCAGCCAGCAAGCAAGCCCCAGTGCCCATGTACTTCTCAAGCCTGTACTTATATCTCATTTGCTAATGTCTTATTGTCCAAAACAAGCCATAAACAAACTCAGAGTTGGTGTGGGAGGGGGTTACCCAAGAGCCTGGAAACAAGCAGAGGAATTATTGCAACCAATTTTGCATAGAATCTACCCTAGACTTGGGAGATAAATTTACCTTCATTATACTTGTATCTAGGATTGGCTCTAGTTATCAGGTTTGTCATTTTCTTGTACACTATTTCTTCAACTTTCAACTTGTATTAAAGTTGTAAGAATACTGAAGCTAGTCTTCTCTTAGAGGTAAATATTTTAATTTTTTTATATTCCTGTTAATTTCAGGAACAGAGCACCTTACTTGAATCTAAGAGCTATTAAGATACACTGCACATATTTCAGGTAGAAATCATTAATGAACACATTGGCATTATCAATTACCATATTCAACACTGTAGCAGTCACCAATAAATGAGGTTGTGCTGCAGTAATAATATATAATAATAAATATATCAGTAGCATGAACAACAAATTTTAAATCTCATTCTTTTTTTTTTTGAGATGGAGTCTCGCTCTATCACCCAGACTGGAGTGCAGTGGCGTGACCTCGGCTCACTGCAACCTCTGCCTCCCAGGTTCAAGCAATTCTCCTGCCTGAGCCTCCTGAGTAGCTGGGACTACAGGTGCATACCACCACACCTGGCTAATTTTTGAATTTTTTTAGTAGAGCCAGGGTTTCACCATGTTGACCAGGGTGGTCTTGAACTCCTGACCTCAGGTGATCTGCCTGCCTTGGCCTCCCAAAGTGCTGGGATTACAGGAGTGAGCCACTGCACCTGGCCAAATCTTGTTATTACATGTCAATGTTATGTTGACCGGGGACTCTAACTGTGTAGTCTTCCAGACTCAGGCTGATGGAGGCCACCATCTGGAAAGTTGCTGGTCACCGCATCAGGGAAGATGCTTTGGGTTCTTACACTGGCAATGATATGTTCTGGCCCACAAGAAGCATGTGCCACTTTCATCTATAACCTATTGGGTAGAACTGCTACATGGCCCTGTCCAACTGCATGTGAGATTTCTGTTTATCAGGAGAGATGTGGATGTGAGTGAGCATCAGAAGTATCTTCTATAGTCCACCATTCTTGTCACCACAAGGCCATGTCTCTTCTTCTCAGATGTAGATTCAATAACCACCTCCCCAAAAAAGATAATCTAAAAATCTCAACTAGCTATGTCATGGAGCTCAAAATTCTGGATTTCTCAGTGATTCACAGTGATCCTCTCATCAGGCCCAAATGTGAATCCCCTTGATTCCACTACATATGGCCCAAAGGGATGAAATATCTGCTTCCCACTTCCTGAACCACATGCAATATATAATTGCAGAACTGGGACTGTAATTAACTCTCCCATTCTGAAAGGGAGAAAAATGGGAGACACACAGTAGTCAATGGTCTAAAGCAATTCTGGAATCCTGCTAGATAGATGCTGTGAGGCCCTCCTGACCAAAGTGTGGGAAATCTTCCTTGATTAGGTCATGACTTTGCTCTCTAAGAGGAGCTCCTTTGTTTGTTGTTCTCCACAGCCTTTGCTCCCCCGCATTCCCAACTCAACCTCCCCAGAAGATTCTTCCTTTTCTATTACCTCTTTAGTGACGCCTGAAGTGGTTGTTGGAAAATATGCCTTCCTTGGAAGCTGCACATGTTTCTCAACCCTTTTCCTGCCCAAAGACTCTTACGAGCCTAAGAGTAGTTCTAAATCTAGAGCAGATTCATACAATTTTAGATCAACTTAGTAATTTCTCTGGCAGTATTAACTCTCCCAAAATATAGGGTTTTTTTTTTCTATATGATAAACTAGTTACTGGCTCCATGTGCCATTAATAACATCCATAGTTTATTTTGGTTTTGATTAGTTCCCCTCCCCATAAATCTCCCCTGGCTCCTAGCTCTGTCTTAGCTCTGCTTGGCCACCTCTCCAAATCCCTTAGTCTCCCCCTACTCCTAAAACAGACAGGTGCTGACATACATATAGACTCCTAACCAATCAGTTATCACAGCCCTACACGGAGAATTCTTAGACATTGACTACAGAGTACTGATAGAAGTAGATGAGGAAAAGCATGGACATAAGAGAAAGAAATTGAGCCTAGGAGAGACAGATAAATGAAATGTCAGATAAGAGGGAATATCCTGTAACTGCAAAGCAGCATGACAGGTTTCTTAGGATGGAAAGGCAGCTCTGAAAGCTAGTCCAAAAAAGGAGTGTCAGAGATGTTCAAAGCACATAGTGCTGGAATAAATGTATTAAGAAGTAGACCACATTCATTCTGATGAACAAATTCAAGTATATTTGTGAAAAAGCCATCTGATTATCAGTGGCACTTTATATTAAAATGCTAAAATCTTAAGATGACTGGCCAGGTGTGGTGGCTCACGCCTATAATCCCAGCACTTTGGGAGGCCAAGGTGGGTGGATCACCTGAGGTCGGGTGTTCGAGACCAGCCTGACAAACATAGAGAAACTCCGTCTCTACTAAAAATACAAAAATTAGCCGGGCGTGGTGGCGCATGCCTGTAATCCCAGCTACTCAGGAGGCTGAGGCAGGAGAATCCCTTGAACCCAGGAGGTGGAGGTTGCAGTGAGCTGAGATGGCACCATTGTACTTCAGCCTGGGCCACAAGAGCGAAACTCCGCCTCCAAAAACAAAAGAAAAAAAAAAAGATGACTGGTAAAGGGAACACAGGAACACTAGCACAGTGCTGACTGCAAGCCACAATGATGATGCAGAACTTAAGGTTGACTCTTGGATTTCGAATCTGTCTGAGCACTATGTGCATTGCGTGTCTTCACCCTGAAGTAAAAACAGCAACCAATGTGTATTGAGAGCTTACTATTAATATATGCCAAGCATCTGCCCATTTTATACATGTGAACGTTGAGATTTGAAGAGGTAAAATGATTTGCTAAAGGTCACTGGACATATTAAATAACCAAGCCAAGACTCAAATCTAAGTCTGTCTGTGAAACCAGGGATCTTTATTCTATATTCTGCAGCATTTCAAAGTCTCTAAGGCTTTTTGACATAACCAGGCAATAATGTGGTGAAGAGCCAACATATCCAATTCAGTGCAAGTAACAACTGGTTAACGCACTGTTATGACCAGTCCAAGTCAGATTAAAAAAAAAAATCTATTATGTTATTGCGATGAGATGACAACTTGAGAAAGTGAAGAAACTTGGTAGCTTTTAAATACAGATACCAGCCACCTGATTTCTAAATTTTAGGTTTAGCATAGGAACATTTATATTAAAATGTAGAGTAGCCAAATAGAGCCCTTGGGTCAGTTTCCAGAATAAACATTAGAATAGTGTGAAGGGCTGCTACAAAGTGTCTTTAAAGAGACCTACTGGTAGTAGGTGTGGTGGCTCAGGCCTGTAGACCCTGCTACTTGGGAGATGAAGGCAGGAGGATTGCTTGAGGCCAGGAGTTCCATATCAGCCCACCTCTAGAATAACTTTCATTGATTGTTGTGTTGCTGCTTTAAAGAAAGTTCTGAATATTTTTTCATTGCCATTGTCCTTTCCAGATTGCTCTACCCCTGATTTCTACAGCAATCAGTCAATCTCAAGTAGGAAGGCCAGGAAGGCCAAGCCATTCATAATCACACTCACAATTATCTCTGCCTCTTTTTTTAGAAGTGCAGTTTACCATTGATGTGAGCACTGGTACTCCTAGAGGAGAGTTGTTACCTGATCCTCACACATCCTGTAAGTCAGTGGTTCTTAACCTCCTGTGGGTTATGGATCTCTTTGAGAGTGTGATGAAGGTTGTGAGCTCTCATCCCACTAAAAGCATATACTCAAACACACATACAACATTTGGAATAAGGAGCCCCTTGAAGACCATTTCTAAGCTTGGTATCTTTGGATTGAGTTAAAAACTTTTGTGCATGTCATCTTCCCTTCATGGAATCTTAAAAGAGGAAGATTAGACAGAAGATATATTCAGAGACAGAAGGAAACCAAAATATGCTACCCCAAAATATACTTCCATGGCATATTTTAAGATGGCTATTCAGAGGGGCTACAGACCACAGAAATAGCTCCCTAAAAGCTGTCATTCTGTGGGGAAATCTACATTAGTGAAATAAACAGCAGCTACAGAGTCTTTCTCAGGGGTCCCCCTATCCAGACCCAGGAAAGATTGATTCCAGGAAAAGGGACCAAATGTCCTAACACTTTTAAATGCCTAACAGAAAAGTTTTTACCACAGACTACCATTTTTTTCTTTCTAAAGGCTGCTACCTTTGAGGCTTCATCTGCATAACAAGACAGCTTTTGCTCACCATGCCTTTCCTCCCCTCTCCCTCCCATAAAGCTGTTGCCACACTCCAAGCCTCTATTCCTTTCTGTATGCTATAGAGACTTTAATCATCTGGCTCTTCTGTGAGTCTCATATTTCGTGTGGTTCCTGTGCCTATGCACGTAATAAATTTTGATTGGTTTTTCTCCTATTAATCTGTCTTTTGTCAATTCATTTCAGCAAACTTAGACCTGAATCTTCAGAGGGAAAGTCTCAACTTCCCTACCAGACCAAAAGCCAGCATTTGGTGCACTCTTAAATTTGTAATTCCTGTTTGGGAATCAAGCCTCAAGAATTTCAGCATTGAGTAGAAGCAATAAATCAAGAAGTACAACCTGAGATCATGGTCATCCTTTGCTTCTCTTCTGCCTCTTACCAGCTGCATAATTTGGAAAAGCCTCCCCTGTAGAAAAGTTTAGCAATTGTACTAAGATGTTTGTTGTGATCATTAAATAAAAGAACACACGTGAAGCACTTGTATCAGACTTCAGATAGGAATTATATAACTGTTAGATATTATTAGTGACATTATTTAATTATTTTTGAGAAGGAGTCTTGCTCTTTTGCCAGGCTGGAGTGCCGTGGCATGATCTCGGCTCACTGCAACCTCCGCCTCCCAGGTTCAAGCGATTCTCCTGCCTCAGCTTCCTGAGTAGATAGGACTACAGGCATGTGCCACCACACCCAGCTAATTTTTGTATTTTTAGTAGAGACAGGGTTTCACTATGTTGGCCAGGATGGTCTCGCTCTCTTGACCTCGTGATCCGCCTACCTCGGCCTCCCAAAGTGCTGGGATTACAGGCGTGAGCTACCATGCCTGGCCCAACATTATTATTTTAATTCTATTTCTATTGAATTATTCTTTATGGCAGCAGAATGTTTGTATCAATATACCATAATTTTACCCTGTACTCTTTCTGTTCTCATTATGCTCATAAGCAATAGCAAAGGAGGATTAGGGCTGCTCACTGTCCCTGGCATCCAGCCTGTGTCTGTGGCCATACTGATAGGATGCTCAAAGCCAGAAGCCTCCAAGAAGTAGGATGAGTGCAGAAGACAATCCAATGAGGAAAGGGAAACATATAATTATAATTTTATTTTTAAAATCTCATTCTATTAATTGCATGTCAATGACTGATGATGGAATAAATTTTTTTTTTTTTTTTTAGAGAAAGGGTTTTGCTCTGTTGCTGAGGCTGGAGGGCAGTGGCACATGCCTAGCTCACTGCAGCCTTAAACTCCTGGGCTCAAGCAATCCTCCTGCCTCAGCCTCCCAAGTAGCTAGGGATGTATGTGCACACCACCTCACCCAGCTAATTAAAATTTTTTTTTGTAAACATGGGGTCTCACTATGTTGCCCAGGCTGATCTTAAACTCCTCCTGGCCTCAATTGATCTTCCTGCCTTGGCCTCCTGGAGTGCTGAGATTACATGTGTGAGCAACTGCACCTGGGCAGGATGAAATGTTTTTAAAATAGAAAAAGGCCATGAGAGCACTAATTTAAATAAATCATTTAATAAGTGTTAGAATTATTTAATTATGAAATTAATGAAAAGTTTGAATAACAGTATACTTTTTTAAACTTCAAAATTCTAGCCAAATATAGGAATAAAGGAAAAGATATTATAAGCAAAGTTAAGATTAAAACCTGAGGATTTAAGAGATCTGTGGAATGGAGGAAGAATATGTAAATATATACATATTTTTTTTAGACGGAGTTACCCCCTGGTTGCCCAGGCTGGAGTGCAATGGCGTGATCTCGGCTCACTGCAAACTCTGCCTCCTGGGTTCAAGCAATTCTCCTGCCTCAGCCTCCCGAGTAGCTGGGACTACAGGCACCAGCCACCACGTTTGGCTAATTTTATTTGTATTTATTTATTTATTTTTAGTAGAGACAGGGTTTCACCATGTTGGCCAGGCTGGTCTTGAACCCCTGACCCCAGGTGATCCACCCGCCTCGGCCTCCCAAAGTGTTGGGATTACAGGCGTGAGCCACTGCACCCGGCTGTAAGAATATGTAAATTTTTTATAGGTATAAATGAAAAAATGGTTGTTGAGGTGTTCCCCTACTTGTGAATTGAAAATCTGAAAGAAAAATATGTCAGACTGAAGAAGCCCCTAGAGCACAGAGAATACTGCATATGAGCATCAGGTGATCTGAATTTGACCACTAGTTCTTTTGCTTAAAAGCCCATGTATCTCACTTAAGATACCAGTTTTCACATCTATAAAATGGGGCTAATAAATCATTTTATGCCTTGAAGGCTTGAGATAATTTGATGAAAGCAGTGCAAATATTTAATCTATTCTACAACTATTTATTGTTGCCAGAGAAAATAAGGAAAACACCTGCCCTCATGGGGCAAATTATTATTATATTGTAATATACAAAAATGATACTAATGTACCTACATTAAGTCTTGGATCTTAATTTTCCAGAGGTGGGGATAAACATCCTATTAATTTGCACTTTTTCTGTTCTGATTACGCCTTAAGCAATAGCAGAGCAGGATTAGGGCTGCTCACTGTCCCTGACCTCCAGCCTATGTTTGTGGCCGCAGTGATAGGATGCCCAAAGCCTCCAAATGGGATAAGCATAGAAGATAATCCAATGAAGAATGGGAAACACATAATTACAATTTTAAAAATCTCATTCTTTTAAATTTCTACTTGTACATGTTTTACATTACATAATGTACTATAGTACAGAAGTATACGATCTATAAATAAATATACATAATTGAAGGTGATGGGGTTCACAGCATTCTACCCTAAAGTATGGTGCATTGGTGCAACTGAATATTTTAAGCTGAAGGAATCTGAGAAATGCAGATGTTAGAACTCTCTGACCTTGCCCTGCTTCCCTGAGGCAGGTCATAAGACCCTCATATGAGACGTGCCCTTCCTATACACGGAGGAAGGGGGCATCTTTATCTCTGAAGATGGAGGGACCCTGAGGGGAATCCAAACAAACAGAACACACTAAATTTCTCCCGGTTTACCACTGTTAGCTCAGATCTTTTTGTCCTATCACATTTTTCCAAGACTCTCCACTCTTCAACAAACCTACTATAAAAATGCTTAGGTGGAATTATTTCTCCAGTTCTTCGTTATCTTTTAAAGGCTCCTGCATCATTTGTTAGTCTAATTTACAGGGCCCTGGCTAATGAACCTAAGAATGATAGAAGGATAAGATATTTTATCTACTCTACAGAGGTGTGTGCATAACACTTTTTTTAAAAAAAACTGATAGTGGTGTAAGATAAAAACCTTTACACCATGGCTCTAATAATTTAAAATACAGCTTTAAAACTTTTAAATAAAAATTAAAAAATGAACAACAATGATTCTTTCAGAAGTTGGAGGTGGATAAAGAAGTTTGATTTTAAAAAGCTCGGGTCTGTAGATTCATGTATGACTGAACTGTAATAATAAATAGTCTTTCTGCCAAGCATTCTTTTTTTCCTGGTCCACATACTTGGCAAGACCATCTATTCAAAGGAGGCTTTACTGGCTATTTCTAGCACCTACCTTAAAGCTCTGAATTACACAGATTCTCCCCAGAGCCTAGAATATTTAGTCATTAACAATTTTAAAATAACACTTTAAGGATGCCTCTTATGAAATTTCATAAATGTTGATGACTGAGAACATTTAAAATGTGAAAATGTGCAAACATAGATAAAACTAGAGAGACTAGTACAATGCCACATATCCATTACCCAGATAACAGTTATCAAGATTTTGCCACATTTGCTTCATCTATTTCTTTTGAGGATATCTTTTTTAGCATTTGAGTTTTCAAAATATAGGTTTCTAAAGGCATTTTTCATAGAAGTAGCATCAATAGTGTTTTATAACCTTTTTTCTGACTAAATTTTTAAAAGTAAGTTGTACATTCACATGGCTGAAAAATCAAAACTATATAACAAATATACATTAAATCCTGCTCCCACACCTATTTCCATCCATTCTGATCTCCCTATCTGCCCGCAATCGTTTAGTTTCTTATATATCCTTCTGAGTGTTTCCGTATATAAATATATTATATAATTATAAGTATATAAATAAGTATAACATATATTCTCATTATCCCCTTCCTTTCTCACACAAAAGGCAGCATATGTGATGTTTGGTATGCAGCTTCCTGTACTTAACAATGTATTGTGGAGCTCTTCCCATATAAATACACAGAAGGATTTTACATCTCAGTGTACTATTGTTTATTTATTCAGTCCTTGTAGGTGGACACGTAGGCTATTTCCATTCTTTTGCTATTATAAAAATCAATCCAGGTATACACATCATTTGCTGTATAAGATGCACTTATATCTCTGGGATAATTTCCCAGGAAAGGGATTGCTAAGTCATAGAGTATATTTTAAATTTTGAGAGATTTCACCAAATTTCCCTCTCTAAATGTTGTGCCCCCTTGGTACCCCCACCAGGAATGTATCAAAGTATGGGTTTATCTATAGCCTCACCAAAAAATTATTTTAAAACTTTAAAGCTGTATTTTAACAGTGTGTTGTCAAACGTTAGGATTTTTGCCAGTTTAATAGACAAACACAAGTTTGTCACAATTTTTATGAATTATTATTATTTTTTTGAGATGGAGTCTTGCTCTGTCGCCCAGGCTGGAATGCAGTGGCGCAATCTCGGCTCATTGCAATCTCCCCCTCCCGGGTTCAAGCGATTTTCCCGCCTCAGCCCCCGGAGTAGCTGGGACTACAGGCGCCCGCCACCACGCCCGGCTAATTTTTGTATTTTCAGTAGAGACGCGGTGTCACCATGTTGGCCAGCTGGTATTGAACTCCTGATATCAGGTGATCCACCCACCTCGGTCTCCCAAAGTGCTGGGATTACAGGAGTGACCCACCGCGCCCAGCCAACAGTTTTTATGAATGTTAAACTTCCTGTTCATTTCTCATTTTCCTCTTCTGTACATAAGGGAGTGCTCAATAGATACAATATAATTTGGGTGACAGTGCTTGCTTTATTAACTTTTGATGTTGGAAATAATTTGTATTTGTGATAGGTATGTAGCAGTCTAAAACAAACTTTTGTGACTGATTTCTTTTACTATGATAAATGCAAAAAATCTGTGCCATGTGCAGCAAGTCAGTTCTCTGCAGAATGATATTAATTTTTCAGTGAAGAAGCAAAATCATTTCTAACAATGATTCTTGTTATGGGTTGAACTGCATCCCTCCAAAAAGATGTTGAAGTCCTACCCCCCAGTCTCTGTAAATGTGTACTTAAAAATAGGGTCCTTGTAGTTAATCAAGTTAAGATGAGATCATTAGGGTGGGTCCTAATCTGACTGGTGTCCTGAAAAGGAAAAATTGGGGCATGGGGACAGATAAGTAGAAAGGGAAGACAATGTGATGACACAAGCAGCAGCCATTTACAAGCTAAGGAATGCCCGAGTCTACCAGAAGCCAGGAGAGAGGCTTGGCACAGATTCTCATCACAGTCCAGAATCGACCCGGAAGCCTTCAGATCTGTAAGACGTTACATTTTTGTTGTTTCAGCCACCCTAGAAAGCAAATACAATGCTATTCACCCTGTTGCCCACGCTGGCCTGGAACTTCTGTACTCAAGCGATCGGCCCATCTCGGTCTCCTAATGTGCCGGGATTACAGGCATGAGCCACTGCACCCGGCCAGCTAGTTTTAATCTTTTTCTTTCTTTCTTCCATTTTAGGACAGGATCGCACTGTTGCCCAGGGTGGAGTGCAGTGGCGCAATCTTGGCTCACTGCAACCTCCGCCCCCCTGCTGGAGAGATCCTCCCACCTCAGCCTCCCCAATAGCTGGGACCACTGGCGCGCAGACCACGCCCAGCGAATTTTTTGTAGAGAGCCAGGTCGCCATTTTCCACAGGCTGGTGTTGAACTCCTGGGCTCAAGCGATTCGCCACGTCAACCTCTGAAGAAGGTGCTGGGATTACAAGCATGAGCCACCGCCGCCAGGTCAGTTTATTTCTAAACTCTATTTTTCTTTCTTTCTTTCTGAGATAGGATCTCACTCAGTCGCCCAGGCTGGAGTTCAGTGGTGCGATCTTAGCTTACTGGAACCTCTGGGTACTGGTCGGGCGGGCAACCTCAGCCTCCCCAAAAGCCGCAACCGCGGGCGCGCGCCACCACGCCCAGCTAGTATTTTGTAGAGACGCGGTGACCATTTTGCCCAGGCTGGGGTGCAGGGCCGCAGTCTCGGCTCGCTGCAACCTCCGCCTCCCGGCTGTCTGCTGAGTACCAGCAGCTGGGACTACAGGCGCCCGCCACCAAGCCTGCCTGATTTTTTGTAGAGACGGTTTCACCATGCTGGTCAGTCTGGTCTCCAACTCCTGGGCTCAAGTGATCTGCCCGCCTCGGCCTCCCAAAGTGCTGGGATTACAGGCGTGAACCACCGCGCCTGGCCAACTCTATTTTTCAAATTGTTTTAATGTAGTATAATAAATATAAAAGCCTAGTTTTTCAACATTGTAACACTCAATACTTGTAATTCGTAAGTAAAATGACGTGATGCCTGGGGTTTGCTTTCATACACTCCACTCATAAAAAAATAGAGGGCAAGAGAAATATGAAACACTGTATTTTATGTTTTCTAAAGGTCTTGGTAAGTATTTCCTTGAAAATATAATCAGGGTGCATTCAGATGCATTCATTAAAAAGCATTTCTTACACACTACCATATTCTAGGAACCGTTGTAGGCATTGGAGATATTAAGAGTAAGAGCCTGTTCTCTTTGGGAATAATTATTAGATATATTCTAAAAGTAAAGCAGGCCAAGCATGGTGGTTCATGCCTGTAATCCCAGTGCTTTGGGAGGCCAAGACTGCAAGGATATCTTGCCACCAGAAGTCTGAGAATAGCCTGGGCAACAGAGCAAGAACCTGTCTCTACAAAAAAAAAAAAAAAAAAAAAAAAAAAATTAGGCAGAAAAAAACCAAAAAAAACAAAAAAATTAGGCGCTTGTAGTCCCAGCCACTCAGGAGGTTGAAGATGGATTCTCACTTGTGCCCAGGAGGTCGAAGCTGCAGTAGCTAGGAAGGTACTATTGTACACCAGCCTTGGCAACAGAGTGAGACCGAGTCTCTAAAAAAGGGGAGGTTGGAAATAAGGTAAAATAAATTATGACCATGGTCCCAGGTAGAGGGATTCACTTTTATAAAGAAATTGCCAAGGTTCACTTTTAGAAGGAAATTGCCAAGGTCAGGCATGGTGGATCACGCCTGTAATCCCAGCACTTTGAAGGGCCAGGTGGGCAGACTGCTTGAGGCCAGGAGTTTGAGACCAGCGTGGGCAACATGGTGAAACCCCATCTTTACTAAAAATACAAAAATTAGCTGCGTGTGGTAGAGCAGGCCTGTAATCCCAGCTACTTAGGAGACTGAGGCACGAGAATCCCGTGAACCCAGAAGGTGGAGGCTGCAGTGAGCCAAGATTGCACTACTGCACTCAAGCCTGGGGGACATAGTGAGACCCTGTCTCAAGAAAAAAAAAAAAACCTGAAAAGAAAAAGAAATTGCCAAGAGCCATACGTAAATGATAAATTCCTTTGTTCTTATGGCTTTTCATTCATTTCTAATCATGCTAACATACTCCTTAATGCTTAGCCTATCAATGTTCATCATCGCCCCTTTCGGGTACCTTATATGAAATAATACATTAAATATTATAATGTCCCATTTTTTATTTGTGTCACAGGAGCATGATGGCATGATGATAACTAGTTTGAAATCAAAAAAAAGGATGAACTCTTGAGTGCTGGGATACTAACCCTGGGTTGTGTTTTAATTTTTTATTTTCTGTTTACAATTCTTCTCAGGACTTTAAATAGGTATTGCATAAATATACATCACACTTAAATGCTGAAAGGCTTACAAAATACCTAGAAACATAGCTATTAAAAAAAACAGTTCATTCTGTAAGTGCATTTGTAAGCTCTACTCATAAATAAAAAATTACTATAATGCTTTAAAGTCAAAGCATATCACATTTCAGATGGTGATATAATTAATTGCTGTTTTTCATTTCTAGTAATCAATGTCCACATCTTTTTCCTCTAAATTATATTTGAAATCATAGTGTAAATTGATACAATGATTATAACTAAGAATTGTATCTGAAAGAATCCTCTGTACTACTTCGCAAAGTAATGTAAGAAATACTTTACATACTTGCCAGTGAAAAGGCATCTTTAAAGTAAGTGGTATTCACTCCACTAGCTCAATGGAAAGTTGAGCAGCCATCCAGGGAATTTGCTGAAGGTGGTAGCCAATGTGGAAAATTCTTAGGAGGGGTCACAACAGGATTTTGCTTCTGATCAGTTTGTCTGCATTGATCTCACTCCCAGGCCAGAGATGCTTTTTTCTAGACTGTGGTTACCCTTGATAGATACATTGGTTTCTTAATCCCAATCCAGAAATTGGAAGGGAGAAATGTATCATCACACAGCAACGGTTTGGAGATTTGCCTTTTAGTCATACAATAGTAGCCAGTGAACTGGCCTTTATTAGTTACTTTCAAATGAAAGTGTTTTCATTTGAAAAGTTTTCCACTTTTAATTTGATTTCCTATATTTTAAATTTTTGAACAAATTTTTAGTTTGCTGAAATATTTAATCCCTTTAGTCAGTTCCACAGAACAGTCCAGATTACAAGGCGATATTCGATTTTTTAGCTGGTCAGATAATGATTGACTAGTACTGTTTAGTTCTGAAAGTCTGATGAGAAACTACCCAAAGTATAAGAAAGAACTATAAAATTATCAGGTAGAAAATTATAGGAGAGAAAGCAGTGATATTTTGGGAACATATACCAAAATACCAAGCTAAATATGTGTATATATCACAGTATTTTTGGCCCCAGATCTTGTGGCTCTTTGAGTGATGATGATTAAGTTTGTATCATCCAATTTGACGTTGAGTATCTTATTGTTTAGGAAAAGAAACAGCTGACAGTAGGTTCCCCAAACTTCTGGCATTGTCTACCATGCTCACTGGATTCTGAAATACATGACTATTATTACCTTGAATTGTGCTGTTCGGAATGATGTCCAGGGCATCTGTAGTAAAAGAAAAGAAGACCTGGGCTTCAGATATGATTTTGTTACCTTCTTACAGTTTTACCGCACCAAGGTGTCAGGTTGGGGAGCAAGGAGTAGCATCGTCCCGCCTCCCTCCAGTCGCACCCTAGGGACCGCCATGTGAGCTTCCCTCCCAGACTGACGCTGCGCGCGGAGAGCCGGGAGTCACAGGCCCAGGCACTCGCAGCCTCCACCAGAACAAACGGCGGCAGCGGCCGTGCGCGCCCACGGCCTGCGCGGGGACGCGCTTCGGGGGTTCGGGGGCGCCCGCGGTAAAGCTCCACCGCGGCCGCGCTCGCCCGCCCGGCCCTGGAATGAATGGAAGGTTCAATCTCGCGCGCTCGGCGCCGGCAGCCAATGACGCGGCCGGTAGCGGCGGCGGGCAGGTGTGCGCGTGCCGCCGGCTGACGCAGGGCTCCAGTCGAACCGCCTGGTGCCGCCGCCGCGCCCCGCGCTCCCCCACCCGGCTCAGCCCCCTCCTCCCCGCGCCCCGCCACTCGCCGGGCTGCGGCGGCGGAGTGGTGGCGACAGCGGATTCCGTGCCCGGTGGCCGCGCGCCGCCCGGCTGTTCCGCGTCCCCTTGCCGGCTCACAATGTGCTGACCCTCCCGGCCCCGCCGCGCGCCTCACAGGTCTCTCGACCTCCGCGCTCCCTCAGGAAGTGACAGACTCCAGGCCCCTTCCTCCGCCCCGTCCTTCGGGACTGAACGCCACACACGTCCTCACACCCTCTCCCCCTCTCACACCCAGGCTAGCGACGCGACCATGAGGCCCCGGAGGTAAGCAGCCGGCCCCGCGGCCGCGCGAGTGCGAGCGTGGCCGGGTGTGCGTGCGGGTGCGGACGCCGCTCGCGGTCCCGAGTCTGGCACGTGAGCAACGTCGAGGGGAGCTCCGTGCTGAGGAGCAGGAAGAAAAGAGGAGGCGCGAGCGCCAGGGAGGGGCGAGGACTGGGCACCGCGGGGAAGTGACAGGTCTCGCAGCAAGTTGCGGTTCGGAAGCCGGCGCGCCGCGTCTTTCCTTCGCCGGCCCTGATTTATTGCCCCGGTGCTGCCGCTAAGACGCGGGCAGTCGATGTACTTCCGGGTTCACACCTTTCTCTCCCCGCTCGGTGCTGCTGGGTCGGCGCCCGGTGTGGGCACTGCGTTGCCACAGCGGCCGCCCAGGCTCGCCGCTGCGGTTGCTGCCGGGCGGCCAAAGCCGGCTTGGAGCGGGAGGGCGGGGCGGGGCAGGGCGGGGGCGCAGGCCACGCGGGGGCGCAGGGCGCGAGGGTGCGGCGCAGGCTGGGGTCCCGGCGGCGGGTCCTCGCGGCCGGTGCCGGCTCGTCTGGGACGCACGGGGCCGCGCCGCCAGAGGGCGTGCGCACCTCCCTTTCGCGCTCCGCAAGCCGAACTGCTTTGTACCGGGCAGGCGTCGGGGATCGTTTTTGCTTTGGTATCGGTGATGTAAATTCATGAATTAAAATTAAGGATTTTGAAAAGAACGGGGAAGAACGCACTTGGATTTAGGTTGTTTTTGAAAAGGAAAAACCAAAGAGGAAATGATACGTTTGCAGGAGCATTAACTGACTACTGACTGGAACATTGGATGCGGGTGCTTTGTGAAGATTTGTACTCCAAAAACTTTTTTTAAAAATTGCACGTTGGTAAATATTGAGTGTTTTCGAGTAAAATCTAACAGTATGTATTTAGTGCCCTTATTGCGGAAATTTCTTAAATGTAAGTAATAGTAAGTCCGCCATTTTGAATTGTTTCATGTAACACAGAATGAAATCTTAGGTGCCTGTGTTTCCTTGAGTTCCCTTCAGTTCTTTGTGGGTTTGTTTTCATCCGTAGGTTTTTAAGGTTGCCAAGTGTCACTGTTCATGGAACTAAATTCTCCACTGTAGATTTTTATACCTATTATTGTTAATGCAAGGGGAAAATAAATTATACTCCTATTCTATTGTAGTTTTTTATTTATCGATCACAAATACTGTGGAAGTGAAAATTACACCTGACAACTAGTATTAGAATGAATTTAAAACGTTTTACAACATTGCTGGGAAAATATGACTTAAAGTGATTTTTAATCAAGAAAATATTAATGTTTCTTTTTTTGGTGCTGGTTATTACCATATTTACTTAGATAATGCAAAAGTGCTTTTTTAAAAAGCACATTTTTACGTCCAACAATAAGTATAAAACATCACAGTTTTATGAAAGCTTTCAGGGAAGATTTGAAAGTTAAGGGTGAATTCTTGGAAATATATGCCAATTTGTATGAAAAAATAAATTTGCTATGAAATTTATGCCTTTTTTTCTTCTGCTGTGAATTTGCATAGATTTTATAGAGGAGTCATATGATAAATTAACAGAAGAGAATGTAATAATCAGTATTCCATTTTCAATAATAATTACACCCTTGTCCATCTTAGGGAAGGTTCTTGCCTGCCAAATTATTTATCTTTGCATGTATGAAACACAGCAATCCAGTGTGCTTAATTTCCTACAGAGCTTTAGAAATGAAACTGACACAAGGCCTCTTCTACCAATGAATAAAAAAGTTTTATTTGACTTTTCCATTTTACAAGTAGGATCAGCTAATCTTTGCTTTACAATATAAGGTCATAAAAATTTAAGGAATTGGATCGGGTTGTAATGCATATTGGTTTTTGGTAACTTTATAGGTGCTTCTCAATAGATCTGGAACTAAATGATTCAATAATTATATTCTCATTAATCCTTGTCAGACTGTATGGTGTCTTACTATGTATGTTCTCTGCTAGACTTCAGAAACAATAAAAAGTTTGTTGTGAAATTAGTCAAGATTTAAATTTAAAAATCGCTAGGTTGTGAGGCGAGGTATGTCAATCTTATACTTTGTAAGGGAAGCAAATCGAGATTTAAAATAGTAGTGCTCAAAGTTAGTCTTCAGAATAACTTGTTTTTAAGTTTATTGCACATATAAATCCCAAAATACGGTGAATTTAAGTTTGGCTTTTTTTTTCCGGTTTACTCTGAAGAAAGAGAAGATTAAATAGATCTTACCTGCCTAAAAGTTTGATAATGCTTGGTATCTGATCTGGTAACATGATTAGGGTTTTGTGACACACTGCTGTCATAATTTACAAATCATGATTAAAGGAAGAAAATAAGTTATTAAATAAAACATGTATGAATAACAGTCTTCAGGTGTGAGTGATGTCTCTTTAAAAATAATTGAAGCGCTAGGCACAGCTACCAAATTTGGGGACTGTATTAGCAAGTTCAGGTCAGGAAATGATCTATAAACATTTATCTTAATCCAAAGTTGCATTGATTTAAAAAATGAAACATGGGCATACAGGGATGAATCAATTTAGAAGTAATTAAATTATTGATTATGAAAGTGGCGTTACAAATTTTTGGACAACTAAAGCGTTTTCTTATTAGGTATTTTTTAATAGAATTTAATTTTCTTTTAAAATTCTCAGATACTCAGTTTTTTTTGTTTAAATACTTTTGAACCTGTACCTTATTTCCTTGACTTTTAAAGGGACTGTATTTTCTTTACAAATAACTACTGTTTTTGATGAACCACAAAGTAAAGTATTTCTAGCTTGCCAAGAAGAACAATGGAAATTCTTTACATTCAAATACTTCAGGTTGATTTATATGAATAAGTCTTCGAATATATGAAATACAGAATCTCATTGTTTTGAGAAACTTGCCCACCATGTACTTGTATACATGTACATTATTGTGTTGGATTTCTCTGACACAATGATGCTCGACAAAGTCGCTGGCCACAGTGCTGAATCAAGACAGCCATATTGGTCCCTGCTAAATCTGACTGAAAACTGTACAGTACACAGAAATTGTGTAGGGATTCAAGTAGCATCATGACTATAGGAAATATATGCATATATATTTCATAAATTTTTTTTTTGCTTTTCACCTAGTTGAATTGGAATCATCAGAAATTGTGATAGAGAAATGTTATCCCTGAAGTATATTAATTTACTGTGTAACATTGATTTTGAATAATGTCAGTAAAATCAATAGGATCAATGCTAGAGGTTTTCTCTTTCTTTGAAAGCTGCCACTTGCAGATGATGACAAGATTTTAAAAACCCGTTTAAGCAACTAGTTATTTAACTCAAAAACTGTACAGTTTTAGTTGACACTACTGGTAAGATAGAGTATGAACTTGATATTTGCAATTTTTGATTTAGGTTCATATTCTGGCACTATCAAAACCAACATCAAAATATGTGATATCAAGCTTAAATTAGAAATCATTCATGAAATAAATTACACTTAAAAACATTAAATAATTTAAAAAATAAGAATATAAATTTTGAAATTATAATGATATTGACCTGTCATTTGGGGGAAATTTTCTATTGTTTGAAACAGGACAAACAGCAGGCTTTTACTGCTTACAATATTACTGTGCTCTACATTATATGAAATGAGTACTAGTATGAAACCATTGTAGAAATTACCTGAAAAGTAATGTTGTAATACATTTAATATATCAGTAAAAAGTACTATTTTAAGCATAGAACTTTGACATGATTCTTCTAAAAATAGAATGGGTTGATATGCAGGATCATCAAATTAAGGGTCAAAGGTGACAAATCAGGACAAAGGGCATGCAGCTCATTTTCAAGCAACCAGTTTCTAGTTTTTTCTTAGCGGAACAAAAGCTTAATTATATGGAAAAAAAGACTTGATGTTGAATGGCCAGTTCTAATGGTGGAAAAACATGTTTACAATTTTCTAGATATTTTGAAATCAGTATTTATTTTACAGACTTACTTGGAAAGGCAAGAGCCGAAATGCTACTTTTATGTTTTTCAAACATTTTTCTGTGCATCATTTGTTCAGACTTTACAAAAACATTTTAACTAAAATATTCTAGACTGTATAGGTTAAAAAATAGACATTTTGTGGATTTAACATTTTAGAAAAAATCTGTAAATTATGTGTTATCTTTTGTATTAGTCTGTTATAATCTCCTCTGTTAGTTAAAATCCTATTATTTTTATTTGCTATTACATTTATTACATCAGTAAGTCACCCAGTGTTGTAAGGATGAGTAACTTGTAAAGTGTCTCTTTATCTTTATTAAAATGTTAATTGAAAATATTTAGAATACACAAAGTTCTCATTTACTTGTTAATCTCTGGTGATGATATAAATTTTGAACCATTAATAATGTTGTATATTAAAACTTAAAATGTATGTCAATAAAATTTCCTTGTTATTATTGTAATTAAAAGAAGTGTTCAGTTTTACCTAGAATCATTTTTGTTTACTGTATCAAAAAGCCACTTTAAAGTTTTGTCTTAAAGTTATGGTGGGCCTTCAAAGTATATGTGATTACCTTTTTTAAGGCAGGAATTTTGCCATTATTTTGATCTTTTTGATTTGAAACCACTATCGCTTTCTTTTACTTTTCTTCAACGTGATCTAACAGTGACTGGGCTGTGAGCTCGATTACATAAAGTTATTATTTCATATGTTGGAAAATACAAACACATTAGCAAAACTAACTGTGCTGTGGCTCAACTGTGTTATAGCTTACATTTAAGCTAAAGAATTGTGTTTGCCAGCTGCTATCTGTGCCATAATATTGCCTTTAAACAATTTTGAAAATATGCCAGTCATCTTAAATTATTACTCATTTGTTTTTATTTTCCAAAATAAATTCTTCTTATTACAGTATTTGAAGAGAATGATAGAGGTGTCCATATCTTATATGAAACAAATAAAATTTCTATTTGTAATATGGTTGAGAAAATTAAATTTATCTCTGTGATTCAGCAGTGCCAAAAATACTACCCTCTGATTTAAGGTTGAGTGTTTCATATGATATATTCTAAATTAAATTATATACTTTATAAATATAAGAAATAATGCAACTTTGAGATTTTTTCCTAATATAAAATTTTCTGTTCTCTTGATAATTGTAAAAATATTTCACCGAATGTGAAGCTTGTTTTCAAACTCCAATAGCCTAATATTTTTAAACTGTAGAAAGTCATGTGTAACTATTTCTCTTACTTTTAAGTAAATTATTTTGTTTAGATTTTCTGTTCCTGTGTATGATTGAGGGTACATCAGCAACATTTCCAGCTACATCTATGATTAAAGTAGGATGTTCAGTTAAATTGCAAAATAATTTATCCTGATTTTACTGAGGCAGCATTTGAATTTAGTCTGTTGACTAATTGCAAAAAATAATTACAGTAAGGTTTGTAATAGATATTAAATGTTCGTTTAAAGGACAATGTAAGGAAACACTTTCATAAAGCACCTGCATTCACTTCAGTGTTGAACTTCCATGTTTAATATTTTATTTGATGTGTGTGTGTGTTATATTTTAAGTTATAGTCAATTTAAATCAGTATTGTGCTTTGGGTTTTACTCTGGTGTTAGTGTAATATTAATATGTTTGCTATATGATTTTAAGTAATGTTATTTTAAAACGTTTTCTCTTGCTAGGAAAGAAAAATGTGTGTTGCTTTCCAAAGAATGTAGTTCAGTGATAGTTGACACATACTATAGATTAATTTTTCTTTAAACCATAAAGTGAATATTTATTATAGTAAGTTGTAATGTACTTTACACTTATGTTATTTTAGAAAATACTATAACAGAAACAAAAAATTATCTGAAGTATTTTTTAAAATGTTGAAAAATTCTGGAGATGAGAATAAGTAATGAAATAATTTTTCTTATTATGGTGAATACTATTCCTGATTGTTAAATCATTTTTGCAACTTAAAGTAAATTTTGCATTTGTTAGTATTAGAAGTAAAAGTTAGCATGATGTGAATTGAAATAAAATTCTGAGTAATATGTAATGTAGTAGTAATTTATTTTTATTTATCACTTCATTTATCTGAGCTTAACAGCTTGGCAATTTTTATTTTTATTTTTTGAGACAGAGTCTCACTGTGTCACCCAGGCTGGAGTGGAGTGGCGGGATCTTGGCTCACTGCAACCCTTGTCTCCCGGGTTCAGGCAGTTCTCCTGCTTCAGCCTCCTCAGTAGCTAGGATTACAGGCATGCACGACCACGCCTGGCTAATTCATGTATTTTTAGTAGAGATGGGCTTCACCATGTTGGCCAGGCTGGTCTCGAACTCTGGACCTCAAGTGATCCACCTGCCTTGGCCTCCCAAAGTGCTGGGATTACAGGCATGAGCCACCACACCAGCTGGCAATTTTTGAGTGAATTACAATATATAATTCATAATAGCAGTCATTTTCCTTTACATTTAGTTACAACAGTGGATTTTAACAATGAACAATATATAATGTATTTGTGAAGAATATTGTTATATATTTTAGTAGAAAGTGTGAAATCTAAGAATGTTTGTGATGGATACTCTTTATAAGTTAGGCACTCCTATAGCAGTAAATCATATATTTAAATTAAAATAATTGGAATTATTTTGTATATATGTATTTTATATTTGTAATATATGTATTTTATATTTATAAGAGATTAATTGCCTATCCAATTATTTTTTATGAAAAGATGGTTTAACAAAACATTTTGCGTACTTTTTTTTTTTTTTTTTATAAAAGCCAACCTAGGAATAATCAACCTCGGTACAGGAATTCGTTGTCATTGGTTCAAAAAATATAATGAATACAAAATAATGCCAGAATTATAATAATGAGCTAAATATACACAGTCTCTCTAATCACAGAGCATAGAGTTCAGTTGGGAGAGAGAACATTTTCATGGACTGTTATAATAAACCACAGTACACTATTACATGGTAGAGACATTGTATTCAGTATGGAACAGTATGAAAAAGAGCTCTAAGTAGAGATCTAAATGATGAATGGAGATTATTCTCGTGTAGGGGCAAAGAAGTGTATTTTGGGATTTCATAGGTTTAGGTTTTTGTTTTCTAAGAAAACGTAATGAACTCTGTTAAATAAAATATTTTAACAAAATGTATTAAATACAAGGCCTGGCACGGTGGCTCATGCCTGTAATCCCAGCACTTTGGGAGGCCGAGGCGGGTGGATCACAAGGTCAGGAGTTCGAGGCCAGCCTGGCCAACATAGTGAAACCCCATCTCTACTAAAAATAGAAAAATTAGCCAGGCATGGTCGCACATGCCTGTAATCCCAGCTACTCGGGAGGCCGAGGCAGGAGAATCGCTTAAACCCAGGAGGCAGAGGTTGCAGTGAGCCTAGATTGCACCATTGCACTCCGGCCTGGGCAACAAGAGCAAAACTCCGTCTAAAAAAAGAAAAAAAATTATTACATATAAATACTCATGTATAAAATGTCAGTGGCTGTTTTTGGAGTATTCATGCATTTGAAGAATTATTTTAACTCCTGATATTTCATTTCAAAAAACAGTCACCTAGAATAAGAATATGAACATTTAAAATTATAAATATTTTACAGCTTATACCTGTCTCATTCCTATTATAGTTGTTCAGTCAATATTGGATGGATACATGATAATATCTACATTTAAACAATGCTATTTTTTCTACTCTTGTTTTTGAACAATTTTAAACCATTAATATTAGTGAAAAACATTAATTGTGAAATAATTTCATGTTACTTTTCCTTTGAAGCGGACATTACTGTTAAAACTAGTATAACCAAGGACATCATATGTAAGTTTGAATAGTGAAAAATCTGAATGTTATTGTCAGTCAAATTGGCTTTTTAAAAAAAACTCCAAAAGCTAATAGTTAGAGCTCTTGAATTAAATAGCATTATTTAGCTAACTTTCTTACATTATTTGATTTTGGCTTTATTAAACCTATTTGTGATAGTTTGTCCAAATTATTTGCAAAGTTTTTTTTTTTTTAACAAACCCTATCTATTGTATTTACACATCTTTAAAATATGTTGGCTTGAATTCTTCTCTAAATATAAGCAGATAGGATTAAGAATAGGCTGTGGACTATTAGAATAGAAAGGCAGAAGCTACAGTTGTGCTGAAATATTTATGTACAATAATTAAATATACTCACACATAAGCCAGATGTGCAAAATAAAACTTGATACAGGATCAATGTAAAGGAAAGCTCTGTTTCATTAAGTGTCTGTAATGAATTTTGTTAAAGTTAGGATCTGTCATTATCTTGTGTCTTTTGGTTGTAAACACAGGCTAAGTGAAGGATTTAATGTACAGAGGTTCACGTGCCTTTTGTTCACATTCTTCCTCTATTCTTTTCAAATCTAACTCGGTGGGATTGTCATCCTTTGTAAAAAGAACCTTGGGTCAACATTCAGTAGAACCCTGCACTTGGAAAAGTCTCCATTTCCTTTTGAGAAGAAAATTAGATTGCAACTTAAATAATTTGCACAGAATGGTTTTACTTATTTTTTGTGAGTTGATATAGTAGGTCTAGTGTGTAAAACTTAGTTAAGGAAAGACAACTCTGGGTGTAGCAGGTGAGTGCATGCATGTTCACACCAATCTGTTTTGCAAACCTTAATAACTGACCCAAGGATAAAAACAATAATTTAGTAGTCACCAGGAGTTCCTCTTCCAATCACTATACTTGATTACTGTGTGGCCTCTTTATTGCAAGTTTTATTGTGTTGTGGCATCTGCCAATGGATGTATTAGAAACATCAATATTTACTCATATTTAAAAAATGAGAACTGTTTGCTTTTTAAAAAACATTAACCCATTTAAAAATATAAGTTAAAATGCATATTAGATATTTAAAAATATACTTAATGATTAAATGTATTACCATTAATGTAATTTTTCATTCACTTGACTGCAACAGCCCCAATATCTATTTTATAGTACCATCGTTAGATTCTCATGATTTATCTTCTGAAATATATCTGAAGAGAATAGTCAAAGAAGTTAGTTCTTCAAGAAACATGATATTCTAGGTTAAGTAGATTTTAACTGTGCTTGGAAAAAATACTAGTATTTTAAAATTACAGTGTAAAATTAAATATTAAAATTTAAACTGCATTGTTCGTGATATTGGGATCTTTTGACTGCATCTTAATGGTCTTAAATGTTGTAAATGTTCTTTAAACTAGTGTCCTCTACTAGATATAAAAGGCAAGTATATGCCAATTGGTTATCTAATTTTGCTAGGTGAGTCTTAAACTGTAAAAAAAAGTTTACAGGTCTCTTCACAGAGTCAAAACCTGGGCATTTTATTGCTTTCTAATGGCCATTAGGATGAAGAAGAGGCAATTAAATAGGCAATTAATGTAGTACTGACTTGAGCTCTCTGATTTTAGGTTCTTCAGAAGAGGATGAGGTCATTCAACCAGGTTTCATCAGCCCCAGGTTAGTCTTTTTTTTTTTTTTTAAATATTTTGTTTAATTAATGTTTTAAAAGATCAAGATCGCTAGAGGCATATGAGAACCTGACAGCCCTCAGGAATTCTCCATCCTTTCTACTTTGGCAAGACAGGTACCAAGTCCTCCTATACTTCGTCCTGATCACTCCATCTAAAAAACTGGTGTTCCCATAAGAATTACGTGGACAACCTCTTCTAATTAACCCCTTTCCCCCCACCCCCACTTTTAGCAGTATTGTATTTTGTGATTCCTTTTTCTGTAACTCAAGCAGCATAGATAACAGATATTTAAATGCTTATGGAGATGAATGAAAAGTATTCATGGTTTGTTCATTTTTGTAACTCCCAAAGTAAAATATGCACTAACGAATATCTGCTGAACTAAATTAAAAATGGAGACATGGTGCTGTTTTAAAATAATTTATCATAACAGAAATAGCACAATATATTAGACATTTTGAGGAAATTTTTCTTATCTAGGAAGCTCTGTGTTGCTTTTCATAAACATATATCAGAATTTGCTCCTCGTTTTCATATGACAAAGCTGAGTCATTTGAACTTTAATATTTTAAACCCAGACTTTTGACATGCTTTCTTATATTATTAAAATTAACTTAAAAGTTATAGCACCATTTTTTAGTAACAATCTTATTTGATGATAATTTATTACTCTGGCTTGACCATACCACTTTGAAGGCACACATAGGAGCTGTGATATTGCAAAGTATATGAATATTAATAATAACTACAAGTAAAATGATGTTATTCTGTTATTAAACTTTTCAAATATAGGATTGTGAGTAGCAAGAGGAAAGCAGTAAGGATCAAAAAGTTGGATGAGGAAACCATGATAGGATTTCCATTTGAGAAACTGCTTTTTTTTTGGAGTGAATCTTGACATAGGGGTGATACTCTAATATCATGAAAAAGAAGATTCTCAAAAGTTGGTACAAATGTTTTAGTATACCACCTAGTTTCCTCTTATTATTGTTTTCATTTATTAATTTTTTATTTTTTTCCCCTTATTATCGACTGTGGTTTTCTGTTGGGGCCAGTTCAGAGACCTTTTTCTTTTCTGTTGGGAAATAATGTTAACACCAATGTGTTAAGTGACTGCAATAAAGTTTCATGTCTGTATTTCCTTGTGATTAAAAAGGATCGGAGGGGAAAGGTACAACTTTCACCAGAAGAATGGTTATTTCTAGAGATTACATTTCAAGTTAAAAGACTTTGAATATTTGCTGGTCCAGTTTCCTCACTTTACAGATGAAGAAACTGAGTTCCAGAGAAGTTTAGTGATTAGCCCAAGGCCACAGATTGGTAAATAGGACCAGAATTGGTAAATAGGACCAGAATTCTGGCCTCCATTTTCTAGCTGGGCTTTTTCTCCACAGATTTGCTTCTCACACATGCTGATTTGCTTCAGGCATCTTTAAAGCCTGAAGATTTCTTTTAACTTGTCTCATCTTTTACCCTGCCACTCTTCTTTCCTTTTTCATTTCTGATATACTTGCCCTCTCCCCTCAAATAAACCCAAAGGGTAAATATTGAAATAAATACCTGGGAGACAGTCCACATTCTTATTTCAGTTGATTATTTCTTTTGATGAAATAGAGCTTTAAAGAATACTTTTATTCATTGCTTGAGGGAGGAAGAAAGAATAGTATATTAACATTATTTAGTGTTTGCTCCACAGACTCATGGTATTTATTGCAAAAAGACCTTTAAATTAGGAAACATACATGTTCAAGTAGTACAGTTGAAAAATACTTTCATTTTGCAGCTAAAACATGAAGCTTCCTTTTGTGCCATTCTGGGCAAAGTAATGTAAAACTTAGTACTAAATGATTTTTCTAGCCTGTTACTATTCTAATTAAAGTAATTTAAGAAAGTATTTGTTGAGCACAGTTTGGAAAATATTTTTCCTGCTTATTGGGAGAGAAGTATGTTAATGTAATAGGATTTTTGCTATTCCAGGTTTTTAAAAAGATACTTTCTACAGCTATTATGTATAATTTTTAAAAAAAGTTAAAAAATTCTTTCTTCAGAATGTTAGTCTTAAAATAATGCTCCTTTTCTGAATTTTGTTGTAAATATTTTGCTGAAACATAACTGACCAAAAAGAAGGAAGCATTTGCAAATTTTGAAATGTAAAGGGAAATTTTGAAATATAAAGGCAAATTTTGAAATATAAAGGCAATTTGTGTGGAAAACTTAAAATTTATGCTAATCCGTTTCTGTATTTCCATAATTTTACTTTATTATTCTGGGGAAAGTGTGTTAAGGTATTTAATGAAAGTCTCGAGAGATTTTTACCTCTGTATAAAAATTCTAACGTTGGACCAATTGTGTGAAGCCAGAGCATTTTGCCTCCAGACAAGGAAATTAAATGAGAATAGAATTTTGCTTTTTGGAAACAAAAGCAAAGCGACCCAACTATATTCTGAAGTGCCTCTGCTGCAAGACCCAAGCACCCAGTCGGGCGCGCCTTGCATTTGTCTCCATGTCGTAGGAATGTCAAGAAAGTTACCGCCAAGTGGTTTACCAAAACGCGGCGGAAGGAATCAGGACAGTTTGCCCGACGGGCGGGTCGGCGGCTTTCAGGCGGGAGAGATCTTGCCAGGGGCAGAGAGAGATCCCGAAAATCGCCCCCAGCCTTGCGTCCAGCCCTTTCTCGCCGACGTTTTTTCTTGATCCTCCGAAGGCCCAGGGCGACGTTTGCCATCGCGGCTTCCCGAAAGGACGGCGCCGGGTTTGCTGGAAGACAGCTCAGTTTTAGGCATGGCCCGGTGGGGGTGGGGGTGCTCATTTTCTTGGGTTCGGATTCCCTCTCTTTGACCGCACTTATCTTAGCTTTAGGAGATTCTGGCATCTCATAGGAAAAGGGATCAAATTATAAGTGATATACGTCTGGAAATTCAGTAAAAATAGTAGGTTGTGCGTAGTGTTTTTGCCATAGTAGTGAAGGCAGGGATTTCTTTTGTTTGGTGTTCTTGGGGACAAGATGACAAATGTAAAAGTCCCTAAATTAGTGAGAAATCACCAGCCTTTGGATCTACCCCACTTAGGGAGAGGAGATGGTAAAGTGACGAATAAAGGGAAAAGTGACTGAGGAAAGAAAGGTGAGAGGAAGCTGCAGAGGCAGGAGGTGGAGGGAAAGCGCAGATCTGCTGGCGCGGGGTCTGGGGTCTCAGGTCTCGGCCGCCTGGGGAGCGACCTGCCTGGAGAGGCGGGTTGCGATGGCAGCGCTGGGCTACAGACCCCGCCTTATTTGCGGGGAGGAGAGGACGGGTGGAGTCACTTGCCGCATTGCCACAGCCCCTCCTCCTAGTTTTAAGAAGAACCGAAGCATTGTTTCTGCTTTAACAGAAGTCACTCATTCCTTATAATTGAAAACAACGACGGTGGGCTCTGGCACCTCTTTCGGCTCCTTGTACTGTTGGAAAAAAAGTCTGGGAAAACGTGTACCTTGTTTTTTAAATGGGGATGATTGTGATAGCCAACAGGCATATGGTAGGTTATTTCCTTGCTTTTTCCCCCCAGTACATTGACGATTCTTTGTAGCTACTTGAACTCATTTTAAAGACATTTTGAAAGAACTATAAGTCAAGCTATAAAGTATTTGGCTTTTGCAGGAATAAAACACCCCTTTTGAGTCAAACACAGGTCTTTCAGGCACTAAAACCAAGTAGGAAATGAGAAAAAAATTAAAACCAGAAGACTTCAGGAAAGTGACAAATTGGAAAGCATTCTAGAAGACTCATAGGACGACTTTCTGTGAAAGAAGCACTCTAGGAGCTTTAAAAGCTTATGGGCAATTTATATTATAAAAGGATTTTAGGCTCAAAAGTTTTGGGGGAAGGCACAGAAAAAACAGTGCCATATTCTTAAATTGGTGAGTGATTATTTTGTGTTTCTCAATGTGTCTCCTTCCTTTACTTCTCTCCCTTTCCAACTTCCTTGCTTTCTTCTTCCTTTTCCCTCTACCCTTCCCTCGCCTCTTCTCTTCCCCTTTCTTTTACCCTCCCCCAAGGTATGTAAATGCATTTGTCTTAAATTCTTCATGAACGAATTTTAGAGGATTTTTCAGGGTTACCAGTTGGAAAAAGCCTTCTACACAACTTGAAAGGCTGATGTCCCTCTCAGGAAATGAATGAGTCGATAACCTCTGACACCAGTGACCACTCCAGTGAACCTTACCTTAATTCCACTAATACTGGAGGCCCCCAATCAGGCAAGACTGTGAATCTCATAACTATACTGTACAGTGTAGTTCAGTTATGGTATTCCACTTTTCACCCACATGTTCATAAATTTGAATTTCATCAAATTTAACAATAAACAGATTCTGAATCTACCTACATTATTATGCTTCTGGTTTTATAATGATTAAACTGTTTTCTAATTAAAAGCAAACTTAAATGAATATTTTACAAAGCTAAACTATACTGGCCTGTGAATTTTGTGATCATTACTTTTATGTAAGTAATAGCATTTCACCTCAATTTACATGAATACTTTCTGAGATTTTTTTCCTCTTATACCAGATGTTGATTTTTTAAAGTGATTATTAAAATATGAAAAAATATAAATTACTTTCTCGATTTCATATTATGTCACAAGCTTAGCCTGTAATGCCATCATTGAGATTACTTTCTTGTCAGTGTAATCAGTATAATAGAAGTAATTTCTACCATCAAAATAATGCCTAGTAAATGTTTTGTTAGTAAATAATTTTTTCAGAGCTTTGAGCTTTTGTTAAACTTTCAAAGTCATTGGATTTTTGCACCTTTTCTTTTCTCCCTAACAGCTGGCACAGGATTATTCCTCCCAAAATAAATAAAATGAGAAAGTAGCCCTTTTTCCTGAGAAATAACAAAAGGAATAACAGACAAAAAAAAAAATCTTTCCAAATTGATTAGTTTTCATTAAACCTTTTATCAAAAACAGCTGAAAATAACTTCTATTTTTTATACATCCATTTTCCAATCTGAGCCAATTAAATTTATATTTAGTTGTTTAATATGGGGAGGGAGTATAAATAGGTGTATACAGCTTTTTCCATAGCTCTTCGATTCATAATCCCTACATTTTAGCTTGTGTGAAACAGTGCTGGAGTGTGGATGTGTTTGAAGAGACTGGGAGGGGGATTGCTGGCATGGTGGGGGAGGGTCAACTCGGTAGCTTTGTCGAAGGAAGTGGTATCTGAACAGTTAGTTTCTTGGTAAACTGCTTGTTTAAGAAAATGGGGGGTGGGGTAGGCAAGTCTGGTGGTGCATTTTAAGGTTTTAAAATAGCGATATTTTATATTTTAAAGGAAATAAAGTCTTTTTAGTTAATCTATAATATTTATTATAGTATTCGATAAGGGCAGAAATACTGTTGCCAGCATCTTGTAATCAATCGTTTGAACCAGTTTGAAAGGTAAAGGGGGTAGGCATTTTGAAACTGGGGGTCAGTTGAGGAAGGACAGTAGGAGCTTCATCCGTTGTTACATTTTCGTTTATTCAACTCTTCTAGCCATTGGTAGTGGACTTTTAAAATGTCAGGGTACAAGTCAATATGATATGAATTTACCTTTTTTCTCCCACTTGTCCTTCTTTCTCCACCCCACCCCCTGCCCGCGCCGGCTTTTTTTCTCTCCCACCTCTTTCTTTGACTCTGCTGCCGCCTATCCTGGCGGCTCCTCTTCACCTCCCCTGCCTGGCGATCCCCTCCCCCTCCTGCCCTATGTCCTCCAGCTCTTGGGGAACAATCGCCACTGATTGAGGTTCACTCTATGTTAGGCTGGAAAACTGGGCTGTTATTTAGGAAGTCATTAATCACATCTCCTCCCCCGGAAAGAGATGGCAGAGAAACCTGTGAAGTACAATTCCTTACCAACCCCCTCTAAAATTTTCCAAAATGGTTTACCTAAACACAATTTGACTATATGAAGGTGAAAACGATTTTTCTAGTAGGATTTTATTTTAAATTTGAAAAAATTTCGGGCATAATCAGGTAATTTATGTGCCTCTGCCTTTTCCTAGGTGTATGTTTTCATTATCTAAAGTTTCATGGGGATGTAATTAGGTTTAATTAGATCTTTTATAAATTATATATTTTCCTCTAAGAATTGAATTAAATATGAAATTAGCGTTCCAAGCAGGTTTACTGCCATGGAATAGCTGAATTCTTAAGGGGAAAAAAAGCGTTAACATCGGTTGTTTTATTTAAACGACCCCCTCCCATGATTTTAGTCAGGCTTGTGTGTAAGGCACGCGTGTGCACATATATGACTGCCTTTTTTTCTAAATCTATGATTCACAAGGTCCCTCCATTGTGTTTAAGTAGAAGCACGAAATCAGCATTCTGATTTATCCTAAAGAAGCGTTCCAAATTGTCTTTAAGATAACATGTTTGAGTTTTTCGTGTTCATTCATAAATTATTTTGATGTCAGCATAGATGAAATGGCGATTGGTTATCTCTTCCTCTTGCCAGCCCCTTAAGGATACGAGGTGAAATTAGTAGCAAGAAAGCATGTAATTGACAAAGTCACGTGTGCTCAGGGGGCCAGAAACTGGAGAGAGGAGAGAAAAAAATCAAAAGAAGGAAAGCACATTAGACCATGCGAGCTAAATTTGTGATCGCACAAAATCAAGATGTTAGATTGATGCAGAAGATCACTCCGTTCCAAAGGGAAAGTTTTCATCTCACGAGTTTGGAGCTGAGGGCCCGTGGGGCAACATGGCCGAAGGTTAATTTTCTTTTCTATTGTTTTACTGTGAATTTCTTTCTTCTTTTCTCCTCCCCCTCCCCCTCTCCCACCCTTCTTAGACCGTCCCCCCCTTCCCCTTTTACCCCAATACTGGGCATTACCTCCCAACCCCCCATCACGCAGTGGGGCTTTCTGCAAACCTATTGTTATAGATCTCCAAAAATGTTTTGTACCGCCCACACTGATTCACAACTTGAAAAGCTTTCAGGGGGCTATTGTTTGAATTGTGTGAGTGTGATTAAGCGCAGTTTCAGTTAGTGATTCCAAGAAAACTTTTATACACCTGCCCCCTCCCCCATTCCACCCCAACTTTAATTGAAAGTTATGGGGGGGAGGGGAATGCACATTGCAAATAACGCTGGATTCAGTGCTGCCCCATGTGCCTTAACTAGTAGCTCTAAACCATCTTCACGATTTCTCTTTCCTCCTCGTGCCCGCCGGAGAGAATAGTTTCGCTGAAAATTTCTCTTTGTCAATGGGATCAGTATTAAATCAGCAATATACAAGTAAAGTATCGCATGCTGTAATGTAAAATGTGGCTGAAAAATGGAGTTAAATGAATAAGTACACGTATGTATAGAAACGTGGAAGTTGGTGTGATCGATAGAACAGTGTGGCTTCCCCCTCCCCCGCTTTCCTTTTAACCCTTTTCATTTTAAGTATTTTCTGTGGAGAAAAGAAATCAAACCATTAAAAAAAATTTTTTTTTTCTGTTACCCTTCCCCCCCAACCCCAGGCAGGCAATTTTTTTTTTTTAATCTTTGAATGCACATTGAATGGGAATACAGACTGACTTTTTTGTCCTGTTCCTTCTCAGGCGGGGCTAGCAAAGGTGGTGGAGAAGAGCCCGGGAAGCTGCCGGAGCCGGCAGAGGAGGAATCCCAGGTTTTGCGCGGAACTGGCCACTGTAAGTGGTTCAATGTGCGCATGGGATTTGGATTCATCTCCATGATAAACCGAGAGGGAAGCCCCTTGGATATTCCAGTCGATGTATTTGTACACCAAGTAAGCCAAACTTTTTTGTCCCCCTCTTCATCTTTTTCCATGTGGAGGAGCTGATCGGTAGTTATGCCAATAGACGTACGATAAGATGTCCTTCGGTATATTGAAAGACAAAATCTTCCCTGAAATCACTAGGTAGTCCAACGTTTAGGGTACGTGTATGGGCCTTTTCCTGGGTTTTCTGTCTAAAGAGAAAAGAAAATATTTGAAATTTCACTATATATATTAAGGTTGACGTTATTAGCATTTCCCCCTGCTTCATTCTACAGCGAAATAGTGTTCTTGTTGTTTCCGGTATTACCTATACAATATACTTTGTCGCCTGTATCTGGTGAATGGGTAGAAAAATGAAGAAACATGATCATTTTAAGGTTGAAAAAACAAAGCGAAACAGTTTGCTGTGGAAAGAAATGTATAGATTGCCTTATTTTAGACACCTCTAGTCACAGTAGCTCCCTTTATTATTTCATCGCTGCCTGTCCTGTAATCATTTTGTAGATTCAGATCAAAATAATTTGACTTCATAGTAAAATAAAATAGAACACTGTTGGCCTAATGTGGTTGTAAAGAAATGCGTGCAATAGAGGGATGCTTGATAAACATTTTAGAAATGTGCTCCGTGTAGTCATTGGTCTACGTATACTGTCTCTTTAAGAGACTGAACTCAAAAAAACATGTGGCCAGAGGCGGCTCTTGCTTGTGTGTTTAAAATGTGCTGGTCTGCTACTTGGGGTAAATTTCCACCTTTGCTCGTATTGTGTTGTAATTTTTAAAGATGTTTTAATACCAAACAGAATTTCATTGCTTCCCATTTTCAAAATTTTACCCAGGAAATAATGAATTAATACTTCTGCCTTTACTCCTCTCTACTGCTTAATCCCTTTATAGTAAAAAAGATACTTTTATGGAAGCCGGTTGTTTCCTCAAAAAAAGGTAAATATAAATTTTCTGTAGTTAGAAATAAAGAGGTTTACGACTAAAGAGGTTTATTTTGGCATGATAATCTAAGTTAAAAAGAATTGAATGAAAGGCTGTTAATACTACAGATTGACTGACAGATACATGGGTGAAATATTTGGTATATTTGCTTGAAAAGTATATATTTGATACTGTGTTGCATGTTCCTAGTAATATTTATACCCCCTTCCCTAAGGAATATCATCTTCAAATTAAATATATAAACAATAGAAACATATGAAACCATTCTGTTTTGATCTGTTGTCCTGTGGTGCTTGGTAGCTTCCTGACCTTGCTGTGTGGTGTGTGTTTTCCTTTCCTGAAGGCCTGGCCATCATTATTGGCTGTTTATATGTGGAAGGATCAGCATAATCTGTGAATTGAAACAGGGTTTAAGTACACAAATACAAGTCCACATACAGACTACTGGATTTTATGCTTCCTATTTTATAGTGCAAAATGAAGCTACATTTTCTGTTTTTTCCCCTCTAAGACTGGATGACAAAAATCATAGACAAATCCATTTTCTCTCAGGCTCTTTCTTCCACCTTTGAACCTTCTTTAGGTTGTTAAATTGTTTTTTATGATCTCATAAATTTGTTTTATAGATGAATGAAAAAAATAACCCTTCTTTGTCTGGTCACGCCTTTTTATAATTTGATTTTCTATGTTTACCTTCTAAAATATTCATCAAATGTTAAGATATTTTATTAACCAATGTTAATGTTTAGAACAACAAGACATTTGTGTTTATACTATTTAATGATTATATATTGATAAACATTCCTCTATTCACTGAATTAAAACATGTAGCTGCTGAAGTTTTTTAAATATATAGCTGTTTCTATACTATAAACATTGATTTTTAAATAGTTGACTTAATATTCAGTTACATACAGTAGTATATACATACAGTTCATGTATATATTAAAAGGACAGTATTAAATGATGCCTAGTTAAAGAGGTTTCTTATATTGTAATATACATAAATTGTATATAAATTGTATGAATAATTGTTTTGAAGAAGGCAGGAATCCTACTGATGTTAGCTAAGCAACTACAAGTAACAGATGGTTGTAAATGATACAGGTATTATGTGTGCATCACTTATGGAATAAGGTTGCAATTCAAGACGATTTCATAGAATTTTAAAAAACATTTTTATTATTATTTTAGAGGCCTTTTTAGTTTTATAAGCATTTTTGAAAACATACCAGGTTTTATGTCTATGTACTATTTTGTTGTGAAAGGATATGTATCATAGGTGATTAGGAATTTTAAATGTTCAACTGGACCTATGTCTACTCAAAATTTTTAAAATATATGACATAGTTTTTTTTGAAGTGTTTGGAAGTACATGTGTCACTGGATTTTTTTTTTGAAGTATTCTGAAACATTTTTAATAATGTATATTTGGAGAAATAAAAAACAAATTATTTGTGTCCTTAATAAATACATAAAAATTTATGCTGAGGAACCTAGGATACTTTTTCTCTTAAAAATATTGATTGCATGTAACAGCATATCAAAACATATTCAGTTGCTTCAAAATAAAGAGAATATATATATGTGTGTGTTTTAAAATTGAGCTGTGTATTTGTAGTTATGTATATTTATAGTTACATAACTCTACTTAAAATTTATTGGCAGTAATACCATCAAACTTTCTTGTAGTTCCTGTGATGTCACCAAATCCTCAAAAAGAAACACATGCCTAGGTGCTGTACTTTGTCTCTCTTTAGTCTCTCTTTAGACATGTTGATAAATGCTGTGAGATTCTGCTATTTGAGGATGGTATGTAACCATTGATGGTTTAAAATGACAGTCTTCATTTGATTTTCTAATGTTAATTTGTAATTTAAATAATCATATTTTTATGATGTGAAAATATATATTCTGACCCATGTTAATTGTGAAACATTGATATAGTTCAATAATGAATATTTTATTTTTAAAAAATTAACAAAATATGTAAGTATTATATTTGTGAATTTTGTCATATCTCACTGTTGAAGTTTTTAAAAAATGTTTAATAAAATAGGACAATTTTGATGATTTTATTTTTAAATATATTTAAGAATTTCTCGAGTAATACAAACACAGATTTGTTTCAAATGAAGTAAGGATATACGTGGTTAATACAAATTTGTTACGTCTAAATTCTTTTATTTTTTTTTTGAGGTGGAGTCTCACACTGTCACCCGGGCTGGAGTGCAGTGGTGAGATCTCGGCTCACTGCAACCTCCACCTCACGAGTTCAAGCGATTCTTCTGCCTCAGCCTCCTGAGTAGCTGGGATTACAGGTGCCCGCCACCACGCCTAGCTAATTTTTTGTATTTTTAGTAGAGATGGGGTTTCACTATGTTGGCCAGGCTAGTCACGAGCTCCTGACCTTGTGATCTGCCTGCCTCCCCCTCCCAAAGTGCTGGGATTACAGGCGTGAGCCACCGCGCCCGGCTTTAAGTCTAAATTTTTACTAAGGTGATTTCATAAATCAGAATATGATTATTTTGTAAGTGCAAGTAATTAATACTCTTACCAGTTTCTTATGTTTTTTAAAATCACAGTTAGATTGTAGGATAACATTTACATTACCTGGAAAATGTTACTGGCAGTTTTTTGAAATGTTAAAAGTTTTTAATAAGACTTAAATATTTGATGGTACTTTAGAGGAATAGAATGGTAATTAAATATTAGATCTCTTTTGGAGAAGGGCAACGTTAACCTAATAACTACCTGTTGATGTTTGTTATATAGGTTTTTCTATAGATTTTGATATTTATTTCCAAAGTCATTATCTTACCTAATAAGATGAAATGATCATTTGAATTTGATTTTGTTCTGGGAAGGTGTAGAATACATTCTCCTTATTACTCTCTCCTCAGCTTATGTGCTTAATAATACTTCACATATTGGGTGTATATATACTTGGCATTCCTTGCCATCAAATATGATACAATTGTTTACATAAATGTATTTCATTTATTTCATAATGTATGCATAATGTATGTATCTCTTTTTTTCTCAAAGAGAAAGAGTAATTTCAAAATGACTGCAATTTAGCTACCATTACTCAGTAGGCCTAAATATTTATTAATAATTTACCTTTATTCATCTTCATTTACCTTACAAGTATTGGTGTTTTCTTCTTATGGTCTTTATTTTTGAATTAGATTTTGATCTTTATGGATAATTCAAATGCCCACATTAGAAAGGCTTTATATATTTTATGTTCCTTTGCTTCAAAAATATCTCAAGGAGTAATGGAAATAGAAAAAATAAAATCATTATTGTTACTGAGTTAAAGCATTAACAGTATGAGATATGAAAACATTTAGAGATGACTAGTGCTTAAATATATGAAAAATTTCTTACACATAGTTCAATCAATTGATCTAATATAGAGTTCTTATGTATTTAATTAATTATACAATGTAGGAAAACAAATTTATTTCAGTATATTCATTTTTAAGGGCTTTTCGTAATATTTCATTGCTAATTAATTAACCATGTTTAGTTTTGTTATAGTTAAGCATAAAATCATTTTTCACATGAAGAATATGTGTGATTATTGTTATTCTCTGGGCTGCTTAAAATGCCAATTAAAAAAAATTAGACATCTTGGAAACTTGAAAATGTGAACATAAGCAGCTCATTTGTATAGTGAGTTACGTATTTTAATATTTTTAAAATGGTTTATAACCTACCAGATTTTTAAGATGAATTGCCCAGTTGACCATTTTCAGAGAATCTCAAGCTGAGTGCTTTAAGGCCGTTTAATCATAACATCACATTTAAAGGCATTTTATTTTTAATTTTTTTCTTGAGACAGTATCTGGCTCTGTCGCCCAGGTTGGAGTGCAGTGGCGCGATCTCTGCTCACTGCAACTCCGCCTTCCGGGTTCACGCCATTCTCCTGCTTCAGCCTCCTGAGTAGCTGGGACTACAGGCGCCCGCCACCACGCCCGGCTAATTTTTTGTATTTTTAGTAGAGACGGGGTTTCACTGTGTTAGCCAGGATGCTCTCGATCTCCTGACCTCATGATCCACCCACCTCGGCCTCCCAAAGTGCTGGGATTACAGGCGTGAGCCACCGCTCCTGGCCAGGCATTTATTATAAAACAAAATTTTATAAGATTTCTTAATGTAGCCCTAAAGATACTTTTGATTTTCAAGTGGTGGTGCATTTCTCAGACTCTTTTTCATGTATTTAAGTCCTACAAAGACATTCTGATTCAATTTAAATGTGAAATGTGAATTGGGTACATATTGAAGATGTAGGCCTTTCTCCTGTTTTAAAGATTATTGGTGTACTTCTTAAATATTTTTCTCCTGCCTTTTTAAAGAGCAGTTTTAGGTTCACAGCAAAATTAAGAGGAAAATACATAGATTTTTCCATGTACCCTTGCCCCTTCAAATGCATAGCATCCTCCATTATCAACATCCCCTACCAAGAGTGGCACATTTGTTTCAATTAATGAATGTACATTGACACATCATAATCACACAGAGTCCATAGTTTATATTAGTGTTAGCCTTTGGTGTTGCATGTTCTCGCTAATTTTCAATTCCTCTTTTATTTTAAAAGACTATTCACAACAAATGAATGCAGTAAATCAAAGAATAATTTTTTAAATAAAAATATGAGTGTCAAACCACTTACAAGTATTCAGTGTAACCTTTTAAAGCATGTCTTTAACTTATCTTAGAGTTCTTAGGTTTCATGAGAAATTAAAAGCTTATTTGTTATCTGCGTTCACCTTGGTAGATTAAAAATTGAGTCCTTCACTGTAATTTTTGTCGCTTTCAGGCAGCAACAAAACATTATTTGGATTTGGTTTAATTCTTCCTATTCAGAGATAGTTAGAAATATTACAGATAGTTATGTCTATTTTAACCGAGCAGCTCTTTTGGTTTGTGATTAACTTAAAAGTTGCTACTTAAAAATAAGATGCACTGTGTTGTTTTTGTTTTTTTGAGACTAAGTTACCCAGGCTGACCTGGAACTCCTAGCTAGTCTCAAGAGATACTCCCTCCTCAGCCTCCCTAATAGCTGTGACTACAGGCATGCACCACTGTGTCCAGCTTGATGTACTATATTCTTACTTCTAAACTGAGAATAACCTAAACAAAGTGAAGATACTTCTGATCAATTAAACTGGAAAGTTATCTTAAATGTTATATTCTATAGACTTGATTTGGAATGAAATATGGGATATTTTATCATTATCAAAGACTATCAGTTCTTTATACTTTGAGCTATTTCCCCTGAGTTTTGAGTAACAGGAAGTTCAGCTTATTTAATACATAGTTACAATAGATGGCATTGTACCATATACAATGCATAAGAAATTCAACTGATTTATATTCCTCCCTAAAATAATTGATTATAGCATCTTCTAATATCATAAAAGTTGATAACAGTAATGTGTTTAAGAAAGTACATTGCAGGTCAGTGGGGTACATTTAAAAATGATCTTTTAATGAGTAGTTTATCAAACAAGTAATGAAAGTACCATGTTGCATTTTGATACATCAGGATACATCTAATCATTTATCTCAAATTGGAGGACAGTCTGATTATTGCTTCTTCTTTTCCAATATCTAAATATTTGACAATTTGGAAATATTTTCTAAATAAGATTTACAAATAATTGATAGATTTAGTGTTATAATTTTTTCTATAATTTTCTGTTACCTGGAGTAATACCTAACTTTTAAAGTTGTTTTGAAGAGTAGAGGTAATGTTATATAACTGCCTAGTAAGTGTCTGTTGAGAAAATAAACTAATGTAAACTGGTCTTTGCCAAAAGAATAATGGATAAGTTATTTTCAGTGGTGTATACTCATGGTGGATAATTAAGCTGGTCTTTTATGTGCTTTCTTTAAAATTGGCCAAAATGTGTTGTATATTAATAGTTTAATTTCCATTACAGTTGATGTTAAGGCTTTTCATTATAGTTTTGTGGCATTGAATATTGTTTTTGTTATTTAAAATAATTCTTTTGGCTGAGCATGGTGGCTCATGCCTGTAATCCCAGCACTTTGGGAGGCTGAGGCTGGCAGATTGAGCCCAGGAGTTTTAGACCAGCCTGGGTAACATGGCAAAACTCCGTCCCTACCAAAAAAATTAGCTAGGCCTGATGGCATGCACCTGTGGTCCCAAATATCAGGGAGCCTGAGGTAAAAGGATCACTTCTTGAGCCCAGGAGACAGAGGCCACAATGAGCTGAGATCACTCCATTGCACTCCAGTCTGGACGACAGAGCAAGATGGTCTCTAAAATTATTATTTTTTTTGAGATCTGGTCTCACTCTGTTGCCTAGGCTAGAGTGCAGTGGCAGGATCATAGCTTACTGAAGCCTTGACTTCCTGGGCTCAAGTGATCCTCCTGCCTTGGCCTCCCAAAGTCCTGGGATTACAGGCATGAGCAACAGTGCCAGGCCTAGAATATTGTTTAAAGTATCAGGGTGTAAACTGCAGCTTGGAAATATTTTTGTTATGCAGATATTTTGGTTTTAATAATTGTTGTAACATAAGATTTTACCTGTGTAAGATTTTACCTGTGTACATATGCATGTGTATTCATTATAAGCTAAAGAAAAAATACTGTTTTAAATAGGCCTGTTGTGATAATTTAATACCATTTTTTGGTTAATAATTATTTAATCTTTGTAAGATAGTATAGAATGATAAAGATTCTGGTCAAATCAGTATTCAAATCCCAGTTTATTAGATACCTGTAAGGGAAGTAAGTTACCTTGTCAGTGTCTCAATGGCCTATAAATCGGAGGACAAAAATAGTACCCACTTTGTATAGGGCTGTTAGGAGGATTACATGTTATTACATATGTAAAGCACCTAACACAAACTTGGCAGATAGTAGGGACTCAATGTGTGTTGTACATAATTAGTATTATAAAGGAGAAGTAGTGTGGTATTGTGAGAAAAAAAACCATGGGAATGAGTGTTTGGCTTCGGCTCTGCCAGTTGGTTGGTTTATAACTTTTGGCTGGTCACTTCCAGGGAGCTTCAGTGTTCTTATGGGTAAAATGTGATAAATAATATTTTTCATCTTTATTTTAGAGGGTTATGGTAAGGGTCAATTGAAATAATACACATGAAAATAATTTAAAAACTGTAACAATCTCAGGTTTTAGTTTTTATCTTTTTTTCAAGAGCTATGTTTTTATTAATCATTTTAATTATAAGAGTTTTTCTGGTTTTTGTTTTGAGACAGAGTATTGCTCTTGCTCAGGCTGGAGTGCAGTGGTGGGATCATGGCTCACTGCAACCTCAAACTCCTGACTCAAGCAATTATCCCACCTGAGCCTTCTGAGATGCTGGGATTCTAGGTGTGCATCACCATGCCCGGCTGATTTTTTTTTTTTTTTTTTTTGAGACAGAGTCTCGCTACATTGCCCAGGCTGGAGTGCAGTGGTGCTGTATCGGCTCACTGCAAGCTCCGCCTCCCAGGTTCACGCCATTCTCCTGCCTCAGCCTCCAGAGTAGCTGTGACTACAGGCACTCGCCACCACGCCCGGCTAATTTTTTGTATTTTTAGTAGAGATGGGGTTTCACCGAGTTAGCCAGGATGGTCTCAATCTCCTGACGTTGTGATCCGCCCACTTCGGCCTCCCAAAGTGCTGGGATTACAGGCGTGAGCCACCGCGCCCAACCTCTGGCTGATATTTTTTATTATATTTGTAGAGACGGGGTCTCCCCATGTTGCCCAGGCTGGTCTTGAACTCCTGGGCTCAAGGGATCCTCCCACCTCAGCCTGCCAAAGTTACAGAGATTTACAGGCGTGAATCACCATGCCTGGCCTCACTCTGGTTTTCTTTAGTTTTTTTTTCTACCTGGAAATTAACCTTTATCCTAGTAGTGTCTGTGCTTGTTAATGAGATTAATTCATATGCATTTTACTAATCTTCAATATAATATTAATTTCATTTATCATTATGGTATTTTCTCATGTGCTGTAAACTCACCACTTACTTAAAGGGCATAATTAGGCTTATTGATGTTCATATGTCTTGTCAGAAATTTATTGAATTGGCTGGGCATGGTGGCTCATGCCTGTAATCCCAGCACTTTGGGAGGCTGAGGGGGGTGGATCACTTGAGGTCAGGAATTTGAGACCAGCCTGGCCAACATGGTAAAACCCTGTCTCTCCTAAAAATACAAAAAATTAGACAGGCCTGGTGGCACATGCTTGTAATCCCACCTATTTGGAAGGCTGAGGCAGGAGAATCACTTGAACCCGGGAGGTGGAGGTTGCAGAGAACCGAGATCATGCCATTGCACTCCAGGCGACAAGAGTGAAACTCCCTCTCAAAAAAAAAAAAAAAAAAAAAAAGAAAGAAAGAAATTTATTGAATTTCTGTCCCAACTCAGTTTTTGTATAAACATTTTTAAAATTTTTATTTAATTAATTATTATTATTATTATTATTTAGAAACAGGGTCTTCCTCAGTCACCCAGGCTGGCGTGCAGTGGTGGGATTATAGCTCACTGCAACTTCGAACTCCTGGCTCAAGCAATTATCCAACCTGAGCCTTCTGAGTAGCTGGGACTACAGGCGTGCACCACCATGCCTGGCACATGCCACTGCGCCTGGCTAATTTTTAAAATTTTTTGTAGAGACAGAATCTTGCCTTGTTGACCAGGCTGGTTTAGAACTCCTGGCTTCAGGTAATCCTCCTGCCTCTGCCTCCTTAAGTGCTGGGATTACAGATGTGAGCCACTTTGCTCAGCTTGTATAAACATTTTTGGAAATGTAAATCAACAAGATGGCTTAATGTCATAGAAAAGTATTAACTTTTAAAAAATGATTATAAAAATCGTGGTTCAGTAAAGCCAACTAATTTTTATTGATCATGTACTCAGTGAAACACTGTTGGTTTGGTATTTTCATTTTAGCAAAATTTAAAATAAGTTTTTTCCAGTTAATTCTCATTGTTTGCATATAAGGCATAAAAGCAAAGGATCATTTTTCCTGTGTTGTATTCACTTCCTTTTACGAAGTCTAATTATACAGTCTCTACCAATTTAATTTTGGGATAGCTAAGATAAAAAGCAAATATTAGTTTTAAAATTTTGAGCTAAATGCAATGATTTCTCAGTAGTATTAAAATATGTTTTTCACATTTCATGTGGAGAAACTGTTTTTGCCAGTGCTTAGAATCATTAATTTATTGTGCTATTAGTAATATACTTAATTTCTACCAGCTGCTTTAAATCTTTGTCATAACAGCCCACTTTAAAAAATCAAAACCCACTTAAATTTATTACTTTTGTTAATCTTAAAATTAGACTTTTTAAATCTTGTAAGTTTAATTTGGTAATAACTCTTAAGATTGCTATTTCGTTTTATGGTGTTATAGGATATAAAGACTCCATATAAATTTCAAATTACTTTTACTTTGGCCAAGATTTGTTGGTGATCATTTTCTTCCTTAAGCTTTTGTAAGCAATTTCCTAGGCCATTAGAGATAGTGAATAGAATGTTCCCAGATCCTATAATGCTTAAATTATTTTAACTTAGCTTATTTTTTTTTCTTCCATTCAAATGAATTGTCTTTATCCTTAGTTCAGTCTGTAACAAAAGTCTGGCAACATAGGTTATAGCTATTGCTTTAAATATTTAATAGATCATTAACATATTGTAAAGCTTGGAATGAATTATATCAACTTTTCTTCCTGTGTGATTTAAATAATACATGATTTTGCTTATGATATATAAGCACTGATCCTTCCAAGTTAGTAACACTTTTCAGCAGCTCCTTTAAATAGATTAAATGATATTAGAGACATATACGTAACACAGCTCAGTGTAAGCCATACATTTTTTTTTAAGTGCATCTTTTTCAATTTTCACAAGAAAAAAAGCTCCTTTCAGGGGTTGATTAAACTGTGCGTTAGAAATTTAGTCACATTATTGGCCTCATTTTTTAGCTCTCTAATTAAAAATTTTCGTTGAATACTCAGTCTAAGGACACTTGGATTTGCATGTTTGCCCCTTTCACTGTTTCCTCCCCCATGCCATTGAAGAATTTTGAATGGTGAGGAATTTGTGCCCTTTGGCTCAGGTTGCAGGCCCACTTGATCAAGCCACAGAAGCCAGGGTCAGAACTATTCATTGCTTATCTTTTCCTTGGGCCACTTGTAAAGCCTGCTTTCTGCTCTGGGAAACAAAACAAAACAACAACAACAACAAAAAAAAGCCCCACAAACAACTCTTTATATTGGACATGTATAAAGCCTGCAGTATAAAAATGGGCACAATAGTTGATTCTTTATTGGGACTCTCCATGGGTTAATTTTGTTATCTTTAGAAGTTTTTCATTGCATTGCAGCTTATTTGATGTATATACTTTAAATACATGTTATTTTATATGGTATGGTATCCTGTTGGTAGTGAAAGTGTGGTCATATGATGTTTTTCTCTTAGGTTGAGATTTACCACTTTTGAAATGTAATGATTACTTTTAAGTAAATTGAATTAATTTGAATGAGAGCTATAAAAAGCCCTAAAGTATTTTATTTTGATGTGCTTAATTTCTAGCATTTATGCAGACATTTAAAGCTTCCCTGAATTAATAACAGCACAAGTTTATGAGCTGTTCCAATAATGGTGCAAAGACTACATCTAGACCCAGGTTTAAACAAACACAAAACACTTTGTTCTTATCTTAGCATCCTTTAAAAGTATACAGCTCTGGTTCAGGACCTCAGGACCACCCATCACACTGGACATTGGATACTCCTATTTATTCAAGAGGCTTGTGAAGTATCTGTGTGCCAGTGGGGGATGGTGTGTGTATCTGTATAAGGAATCACAGTTAGGTGATTTTACCTCAGTAAAAGCTTCAATATTGTTTATATACTGAATTTTGTCCCTGAAGAATTTTCTAGTTGTAAAACCTAATTTACACTAAATGCTTGTTAATTTATTTAAGTTCTGGCTGCAGTCTTCGCATTTTTGATGTTTTCAGAAGGCTAAAATGGGCCCCTATTAAGATTAATCTTAATTCAGTATAGTTTTTTGGCTTTCAGGCCCCACCCATTAGCTTTGGATAGCTAATACCAAGCTTTTGTTTCTTCCTGTAGAAAGGAAAGGAAAGAAAACTTTCTCTTTTATTGCTTAAGTCATGTGACTTCCCTTTTAGTTAGTCACAGATGGGATTGCAGTGAATCTCAGAATGAAGCATAAAACTTTGAGAAAATATTTATCGATATGTGTCTTGTTTAATTTCATATGCTTTACCTTACATTACATCCATGCTGTTGTTTTTTAGGAAGCTGAAAAAAATTACTACTAAATAGATTTTTAAAATAATACGGACCTTTTAATCTACCGTGGTAGTTTCTTAGTTACTTATTTTTCTATCAGTTATCTTTTAGCATCATTTGAGGTTTCTAAACTGTAACTTGTTTCTCAGAACTCATAGTGTAGAGAAAGTAGGGGTGGTGGTTGGGAGACATTAGCAAGAAATAATTGCTGGCAGAATAAAAGAAAGAAATACGTTATAGGACTACATGTAAAATACAAGAGGGAATTAATTAGATGTATTTCTTCTTGCTCTTCTGACCCACCTCTTAACAGTTAGCATAGGGTAGCTAGCTGTTTGGAAGAAAATCCTATCCACCTCCTGTGATATTTATATACTTTTTTTAATAAAGTTAAATGAGGATAAGTGTTTGATGCTTATTCCTAATTTGGTGACTTAGTCATGATGCTCTAGTTTATTGTGAACCATTAAATATTTGATCTTTAAAGTTATTTTAATTTGTTCTTAAGCTACTTGTATTCAAATGTTTAAATTCTATTTTAGTGAACAGTATAACTGTGTCCAAATAATAACTAAAATATTTGAAACAATAGTTTCAAAAATAGTACCTTCTCTGCCATTGATTTTTAAAATATGTCATTTATTGGCACATATTTTCGTGCAAATAAGTACTTTTAAAAGACTTTTAAGAATACTGTATAGACCACCCTTGACATAAGTAATTACATTTTAAAATCTAATAGGCATTTTTGTTTAAAATATTTTATTTCAATGAGTATTTATTGTTTACATAAAAAATTCTTCCTTAAATTTTCAGTCTTATAGATCTTAAAAGACAATGATATTTGGTCATATGATCTTCCTATCAGTCCAAGATAACTTTTAAGTTAACTAGATTTATAAATACAATCTTTTGGTCTGCTTTTAGGATGAATAATGAGAGAAACAAAGTCATCTTTTCATTTTTAGTAGTGTTTTGTGGTAAGTTTATTTTACCTTTAAAAGTTAAATACAAGATTTGTTGAGCTACATAGAAAGGCTACTTAAGTTTCTGTTGATAACAGTGGGTTATCAACCTTTCAAGAACTAGGATCAGGTATGAAGTCTAATTAATGTATTGGCCCATGCTTTCATTGACATTAAAATTTACAGCAATTGATTTATTTTTTTATGTCCTCTACAATTGAATGTTTCAACTTCTGTTTACTTAGTTAAATTTAAATTTTTATTGATATTTTAATTAATGCTTAAGTTGTCACTTAAATTTTGCTTTTTGGAAAGGTTTAGGATAGTAAATCTTTCAAATCCATGATCCTCCCTCATTTGTCATTTTGATTAGCAAGGGATATAGAAAACACTAACAACTATTATTAAGCATTTAAATCTAGTACTAACATTTATTGTTGAAATTATTTGTATCCTAGTATTACTGTTATTTATTTATTTATTTATTTGAGATAGGGTCTTGCTCTGTCTCCCAGGCTGTAGTGCAGTGGCGCAGTCTCGGCTCACTGCAGCCTCCACCTCCTGGGTTCAAGTGATTCTCATGCCTCAGCCTCCTGAGTATCTGGGACTACAGGTGCACGCCACCACACCTGGCTGATTTTTGTATTTTTTAGTAGAGACGGGATTTCACCATGTTGGCCAGGCTGGCCTTGAATGCCTGACCTCAGGTAATCCACCCACCTTGGCCTCCCAAAGTGCTGGGATTACAGGTGTGAGCCACCTTGCCTGGCCTACTGTGAGTTTTAAAATAAAAAGATAAACAAAAGCCTGTTTTTAAGGAAGTGCTACCTTGGTTTTTTTGTGTGACCCAGGCTTTAAAAAAAAATACATAACAAAATTTGGTATTAATTAATAACAACATTTGGAAGTGAAAGGGGAAAAGTTGAGGGTTTTCCCCTTTATACCTGTTTTCTTCCTTCAGAATTTTTCTTTAACTTCTGTGGAGAAAAGTAGTTTTTAAAATGAATGTATTCAGGTTTTAAGCATCTTCATGTTTTGTCAAAAATACAAGGTTAGTTTGCTGGGGTGGGTAACACCATTAGATGTGTTGCTACTTGTTTTTGTGTGGGTTATTGTAAGTATAAGTTTAATGAATTATTTGATTTCTAGATTTTCTTTCTCCTAAAATAAAATTAATACTAAATAAATAAATTTTCAAATAGTTGAAATATGTGAACAGCCAGATAGATGCAGATATCTGTTTCAGTACATATTTTTTAGAGTTCAGTATTTATTTTTTTGGATATTATATTTAAAAGGATATGATATTTAAAAATCTTAACAAATGAGGCCGGGTATGGTGGCTCATGCCTGTAATCCCAGCACTTTAGGAGGCTGAGGTGGGCGGATCACCTGAGGTCAGGAGTTCGAGACCTGCCTGGCCAACATGGCAAAACGCTGTCTCTACTAAAAATATAAAAATTAGCCAGGTGTGGTGGCAGGCGCCTGTAATCCCAGCTGTTCGTGAGGCTGAGGTGTGAGAATCGCTTGAACCTGGGAGTCAGAGGTTGCAGCGAGCCGAGATTGTGCCACTGCACTCCAGCCTGGGGGATAGAGTGACACTCTGTCTCAAAAAAAAAAAAAAAGTCTTAACAAATGATGTTTGGGAAATTGTCTTGTTAGATGGTGACCACTTTTCCATCCTCTCTGTCTTTAGTTTTAAAAATGTCTGGTCACTGTTAAGCCATTAATATTCCTAATAGTAATTCAGAATTTCCTTTGATATTTAATGTTGAATATATATTCCAAAATCTCTTAAAACATGGGATAATGTTTTCAGAGTGAGAATTTAATAGAATAGAATTCATTATTTTGATTTATATTGTTCAATTTTCAGTGTAAATTGAATAATGAAATTACCCAAATTATTGGTGCTTTATGCTGTCCCCAAATTATTCCCTGCCCTATCATTATAATTTGATCTGCCACCAGGAATTATTACAGCCTTAAGTCGTCTCTTTCTTTAGTCTCCTTCTCCTCTCTTTTTTCCTCCTCCCCCCACTCCCCTTTGGGAAGGAAGCCTGAGGCCCTGGCTTTAGAGATACCAGGAAAAAGCAATCACTCAGCAGAAAGTGTCTGTCTTTAGCAGAAGTGTCGTTCCTTGACGAAGAGTGTAGTTGAGAAGAAGTTAATAACAGATAATAGAGTTTTAGAATTTATTCTAATTACTTTAGAATTTATTTTTGATACAGCTGGCTATTGCTGTCATGAAAAAATGTCTGTTCTGTCTCTTTAGGTATTAGCAAAGTCAAATCCAGTTCTTTACCACATTTCTGTCTTTACTTAGGTTTGGTTAATTCTTTTATACCTTTTCTAAAGGCTAATGATTTTTCCAACATTGAAGAAGAAAGAGTTCTTAACAAGAGCATTGGATGGTTAAGTAGTTTTAACATTTTTACACACTTATTGATATTACCTGAATTTCCAAAGAAAGTATATATGAAATGTTTTACTGTACATCATTTGTCATCTGAAGATAGTGTTTGTGTTTCTAGCATATTTTTACCTAGAAGAAGGCTTTTAAAACCACAGACTGACTCATAAAATAGGCTAATAATGAAAATAAATTGATATCAATAGATGTAGAAATGTTTTAATTGTTTACTTCCTTAGAAAGACTGTTTGTGAAGTTGGTTGTTTTCCAAGATGAGTAAAAAAATGCAGATTCAGGTTGGGTACAGTGGCTCACACCCGTAATCCTAGCACTTTGGGAGGTCGAGGTGGGCAGATCACCATGTCAGGAGTTCAAGACAAGCCTGGCCAATATGGTGAAACCCCGTCTCTGCTAAAAATACAAAAATTAGCTGGGTGTGGTGGCATGTGCCTGTAGTCCCTGCTACTTGGGAGGCTGAGGCAGAAGAATCGCTTGAACCTGGGAGGCGGAGGTTGCAGTGAGCCAATATCATGCCACTGCACTCCAGCTTGGGCGACACAGCAAGACTCCATCTCAAAAAAAAAAAAAAAAGAAAAAGAAAAAAAGAAAATTCAGATTCAGTGGAATAAACTCTATAAACCGTAGTGTAAACTCCCTGAAGGGCCCAAGTTTCTTCCATTGCGGTATAGGTATTTCTTTTGGCTTTTCTTCATCTTAAAGAGTAATCTCTTTACTTAGCTCCACATGAATTTAAGTCTCTTATACTTGTTGACTAGTTTGAAAAACTTACACAGTATGGTTATGAATCTCACAGCTCACAATCTATATATGAAAGATAAAAAAAATAAATATTGCATAAAACTTACGTTTTATGGAAAGAATCAAGGATATTTTGAATTATTATTATTATTATTATTATTTTTTGAGATGGAGTCTCACTCTGTTGCCCAGGCTGGAGTGCAGTGGCACGATCTCTGTTCATTGCAACCTCTGCCTCCCAGGTTCAAGTTGTTCTCCTGCCTCAGCCTCCCAAGTAGCTGGGATTACAGGCACCTGCCACCACACCTGGATAATTTTTGTATTTTTAGTAGACATGGGGTTTCACCATGTTGGCCAGGCTGGTCTTGAACTCCTGACGTCAGGTGATCCGCCCACTTCGGCCTCCCAAAGTGCTGAGATTACAGGCGTGAGCCACCGCGCCCAGCCCTGGATATTTTGAAATTTTTGAATATTATTTGTTTAAAGGATAAATACAAACATAATAGCTAAGTAGATTTAAGGTAATATAAAAATTGATCATTCTGTCGAAAGATAGAGTAATATCTTATCTTTGATTATTCTATAATAGAATATCTAATATTTAATAATATCTAAAAATACAGTTAGATTATAATCATTTGTTCCTCTCTGTTAATTCCTCTGCAGATTAACATTTGTAGTTATTTTATAGTTTTATACATTAACATTTATATTTTGTTTTAAATGCTTGCTAACACTAAATCCCCACTACTACCAATCCCTAGGCATAGACCCCAGTTTGCCACCATTTTTTCTTAACTGATTATCCAAAGCCACTGGTTTAACTTCTCTCTACCAAGCCTTCTGTTCTGCCACCTGAGAGAACTGTTCAACTATAGACAGTATTGTAGTAATTATGAAAATTTTGATATAGTGACAACACAGTGATGATAGTGTAACTTTTACAGAGTGCTTGCATGTGCCAAGTACTGTGCTTTTTTTTTCTTTTTTTTTGGACGCAAGACCTTGTTCTGTCTCCCAGGCTGGAGTGCAGTGGTGTGGTGTGATCATGGCTCACTGCAGCCTCATCCTCCCCAGGCTCAGGTGAACCTCCCACCTCAGCCTCTTGCATAGCTGGGACTACAGGTGCGTGCCACCATGCTCAGCTAATTCTTTTCTTCTTCTTCTTCTTTTTTTTTTTTTTTTGTAGAGTTGGGGTTTCACCACGTCGTCCAGGCTGGTCTCAAACTCCTAAGCTCAAGCAATCCGATTACCCCACCTTGGCCTCCCAAAGTGCTGAGATTACAGGCATGAGCCACTGTGCCTAGCCTAGTGTGCTATGTCCTGATGAAGAAAATGATCATAGAATGGCTGATTGCCTAATTTCACACAGTTGAGCCAGCAGTGTCACCCCAGGGTAGTGCTCTTAAATCTCTGGGTTCTAGCCACATGTAGCTGTTTTAATTTTATATTAATTACTTACTTTGTGCTAGGTGCTAAAGATTCAGGTATGAGCAAAAAGCAGAGAGGGTTTCTGACCTCGTGGAGCTTAAAGACTAGTTAAGGGATCAGACAATTTCATCACACAAATGAAAGTAAAATTAGTATGATAAAGACAAGGTACATGGTGCTTTGCATGTATAATGGTGAGGGGCCTGACCTAGTCTCAGGGTGAGAAAGGCTTCTTTGGGGCAGTAGATTTGTGATGAAGAATGAAGAACGAGTAGGCAAATAAACAAGGAAAAGAGCATTCTAACAGAAGAAGGAGTTGTGGGCAGAGGCTTTGTGGCAGGAAGGACAATGGAACTTTATTGAACATTAGCTTTACAAAGTGTTAAGATGACAAAGATCAGTAATATCCAGTCTCTGTCTTTAAGAGCTTATAGTCATGTGTATGCATGTGACCAACAGTTCCCACAGAGTGTAAAGTGCCAAGATAACAGCATTGTGGTAGCAATTGCCAATGCTTTTAGTTGCAGGGAAGGCTTTTACAAAGGAAGAGTCCATTTGAGATGGGCCTTGGAAATACCTAGGAAATTGTCAGCCTGAGAAGGCATTTCATATTGTAAATGAGCAAAGATGTGGAGAGGTTAAAGAGCCTCTTGGAAAGGCCAATGTCTGGTTAGAGCATGGGGACTTGATGGGTGAAGGGCAAAAGGGAAGGAGGTGGAAGATGAAGCTCAAGCCAAGGTTGGGACCAGCTTGTAGCAGGCAGGCTTATACTTTTTGTTAGCCCTTACCCTGAACATTGCTATTGGTGAATTTATTTAAAGTATTCACTCTCTCAGAAGTTGCATTGCCTATTTGTTTTCTGAATAAAATTTAGACATCATAGCCAGATATTTAAGCTCTTCATGATCTGATTGAATCTACTCCTTATTTTTATTTTTTTTTTGAGGCAGGGTCTTGCTCTTTCAGGTTGAAGTACAGTGACATGATCATAGCTCACTATGTATAATCTTGTACTCCGAGACTCAAGTGATGCTCTCACCTCAGCCTCCTGAGTGAATCCACTTTTAAAATCTTTCTTCTCATATTTCCTATTTAAATTGTTTGCTTTGTCAAATAGGACCTGCCATTTTGTAAACACACCCTTCACTTCTTTGCCACTTTTCCTTTGCACAAACAGTATTTTCTCCCAAATTCCTTCCTACATTCACTTTTGGAAATCATTGTCATCCTTCAGAACCTCGCCCCAAAGTCAGAACCTTCTTTCTCCAAGGGCTTTCTAGCCAGAATTGCTTACTTCCTTCTTATAAACTTCAAAACCCTTTATAAATAATGGGTCATTTATCATAGACCGTCTTCTATTATTATTTTGTTTCCTTTTTTCTCCTACTGAATTGTAAACTCTATGTGGAAATTGTTTTATTAAGTTTGGTATTCTGACAGTACTTAGGTGTATGCCTTTCTCTTTTTGTTGTTGTTGTTGTTGAGACAGACGATCACTCTGGCAGCCAGGCTGGAGTGCAATAGTGTGATCTTGGATCACTGCAACCTCCACCTCCCAGGTTCAAGTGATTCTCCTGCCTCAGCCTCCCAAGTGGCTGGGAGTACAGGCGTGCGCCACCATGCCTGGCTAATTTTTGTATTTTTAGTAGAGATGGAGTTTCACTATATTAGCCAGGCTGGTCTTGAACTCCTGACCTCATGATACCCCCGCCTTGGCCTCCCAAAATGCTAGGATTACAGGCGTGAGCCACCGCACCCGACCAGGTGTATGCCTTTCTTATAATTCCTACTGCAGAACATTTCTTGAACAATGAAAAAAAGCATAATACATTAGGAATTTTTTTCCTGTCTTCCATTGGGTAAAAACATAGGGCTTCTAGAACATAAACTGTATTCAGTGTCCAAGAGAATATGTATTAACTCTTCTTGTTTAAGAAAACCAAGTGTTTAACCTATATTCCATCCCCTTCTAATACCACTCTTACATATTCATTATGCATTGAGTTATATACGGTAAACTGTAGAAATCCAAGATAGTTTTGGGCTACTGCCCCCCACCTTCTTTTTTTCAGTGGAAAAGATGGTGGCTTCCGTATTCTATTTGTTACTATAGTTTATCGCTAAGTCTAAAGTATCTTCAGTTCATTGGAGGGGAAGGATCTATCTGTCTAATTCTCTTTTTAAGTCCAAAAAACATTGAACTGGATGTTTAATAAATATTTTGAAGTGGCAGTCTCATTGGGAAGATGAGATGGTATTAAATGTAACTAGTAGAGGCCTTGAAATGGGAGAGACCTGTGTTTGAATCCCAACTCTAATGCTTATCAGCTGCTTGAATACCTTAACTCAGATTTCTTATTTATAGAAATCAGTAACACTAATTTTATAGGATTGTGAGGATTAGTGTTCATGTATTTTAAGTGTCTGGTCCAGTGTCTGAAAGGAGTATAAAGGTATCCTGTCTTTTTTTTTTTTAATTAAAAAAATGTAGATATGCTACAATTGCTATAATGCAGAGTGAGTCCGATAAAAGGGGTGATGGAGCCAAATCTTAATCCCTGTAGCAGGTAAGTGGGACTAACCACACAAGGTGAAATTTAATGGAATAAAAGACAGAAATTGGCACCAAAGATTTTTGTAGTGAACACTGTTGGTTGTATATCCAACATCCATTTCTTCCCTTCCTCCTTCTGATCAAAACCCTGGGTTATTTTATTCATGTATTTACCTCCATCCCCATATGCCACTGGGAAAAGTGGCTCCACCCCCAATATAAGGGGCTTAGACTTTTTAGTCTAAGCATGGCATTCTTCTGGCAACTATTGTAAGTCTAGGAGAGTGAGACATAAGTTGTCCGATTCAGTCTGAAGGGAGCAGTTATTAGTTTTTAGTTACTAGTTTTTAGAGGGCCTAAACATTAGACATAAGAAACTACCAGTAAGTCATTTAAGATTTAAGTAACAATATGGACTAAATATGAAACATTTTAGCATTTTTGTTTTTAGGGTGTTATATATTGTATTGTTCTGATTATAAATGTAGTACATGTGATTATAGGATATTTGGAGAAAAAGAATATAAAGATGATTTTTATTTTTATTTTTTAATTTAATTTTTTTTTTTTTATACAGAATCTCACTCTGTCGCCCAGGCTGGAATGCAGTGGTTCAGTCTTGGCTCACTGCAACCTCCGCCTCCCAGGCTCAAGTGGTTCTCCTGCCTCAGCCTCCCGAGTAGCTGATTACAGGTGTGCGCCACCACGCCCGGCTAATTTTTGTATTTTTAGTAGAGACGGGGTTTCACCATGTTGGCCAGGCTGGTCTCGAACTTCCTGACCTCAAGTCATCCACCCGCCTTGGCCTCCCAAAGTGCTGGATTACACGTGTGAGACACCGTGCCCAGCCAAAGATGATTTTTAAAATCACCCATTATTCTATCACTCAGAGATAACCACTGCTTACCCTTTGGTATATTTTCTTTTTCTTGTTAAAAAAAAAAAAGCTGTTTCTGAATCAGGTATTTATGCTATTAGCTTAAGACTTTTTATACAAATAGGGAAATTAACTTTCAATTTTCTTTGTCAAATTATGAGTTTAAAATTAATCAAATTATACAGAAAACCAGATATATAAATTTGGAAATTGAAAAAAAGAAAATGTAGAGAAACACTATGCATTTGAGTGACAGATTCTGAATTATATTTGTAGATGAAGTATACATCTTTAAAAATGAGTAAACCTGATATTCTGTATTATTTCTTACTTTGGTCCACTCATAATTTCATTAGTCTGAACATGTAAGCCATTTATTATTTTTAAAAATTTAAGTGCTTTGGGAAATTTTGTCACCTGGTTTGAGAAGAAAAACAACAGAATTATAGCAATATGTCTTTATCTTAACATGAGAAACATAGAAAGGATTGATGTGCTTTTGCATACAAATTTATTAATAGGTCCTCTTTAATAGGCAAGTTAATATTTTTTCTCCTAGCTAATATGGAATTCAATTCTGTTAACTATACTTAGAGATCAGTTTCACTCCTAAAATGTATTTAAAATTCCGTAATGTAGTTTTCCTAAATTTAATAAAATGCATAAAGTAATTATGTTATTAAAATTTATAGGTTTATACAAGTTTTGATGAATCTATATGTGTAACCATGGTATATTAAGTACCTTTTAGTGTCATTTGCAGTTGAGAGAGATGAGTTTTTATCTCTTTGAGAAAGGAAGATGTTTTGTCTGACCACAGAGTAATGAGGAAAAGCATTTTGGTAGCAAAAATGATGCAGGTGTTAAAACGTAGGTGTTAACAGTCTTTTGATCTTGAAATTTTGTGTGACATGGAGTTCCCAGGAGGCCCTCTCAACTTTATCATCCCAGATTGGTTTCAGAGGTGCACAAATGTATATATTCCTTTTATGATTAGAAGGTCATATGCTGACCTGAATTTAAATGGCAAATGTACTTCAGGGTCTGTCGTGTGTTACAGATATTTAAAACTGATGTTAAAGGAAGAAGTTTCATTCAATATGAAAGGAAACAGCCTTTATGCCTTTTGTAAATGTTCCTTTTTCTACAGTGATGGATTCATTATCTGCTTATCCACATATTTATTGGTGGTCACTCATGTATCTTCTCTATACTCTAGGATACTTCCTCTGCACACAGACTGAATTAACCTTTTCATATCATGTCCATATAAATTGTTGGCTGTTCTACTCATTTTATCAGCAGAGCCACTAGAAACAGCCCATTTCTAATCTGTTAGTAATTTTATTGCTACTATATATTAAAATATATGCCAAATGCTGTCATATTCTGCCATATATTTTCATGCTATATATTTTCTCTCTTGTCTTCTGGGTGTTTAGCCCATTCTTAAGATAATGCCAAGCAGAACTAAGGTTGGACACCACAACAGGTTCTGGAACATTTTATTTTAGCTAGTAAAAATACAGTGTAATAAAGGATGCAGGACATAGCTTTTCACATTATAATTCACCTTAGCCTTTGTTTTTTTGTGTGTGCTATCATTTCCCATCCTTCTGAAAACACTGCTATTTTAAAATCATTCTACTCATATTTGCTTCTCTCACCACTTGGGTTTTTTTTCCTCCCCTTTTTCTCAACTTCTACCCCCACTCACTCTTTCTGGTGTTAAAAGCTTCTGTAGGGAATTGATAATCCATGTCTTTCTGCTTTAAAGTCTTTAACACATGGAGCTGGCTGCTAACAGAAATTGACCAGGTTCCTGTGATCCTTGTCAGTTCTCTGATTAATCAGTTTTTCTTTACAGGAGAAACTGCTCTTAACAAAAGAAAACTAACCGGAAATTTCACTCATTTACCCATGGCTGCTTACATCTGCTCTTCTTCTGTTCCTATCACTTTGCCCTTTTATTATAAACTTTTAATTCTTGGCTTTCAGTTATCTCATTTGTACTGGAGAGTAAAGAGCTAATTTCTTGTAATTCATATATCCTCAGCAATTCCAGCTAATGTGTATACTTGTACAGTGCGATTTGTAAAGCCGCTTCCTATTCAAAAGACAGTGACTGCAAATCAAAAATGAGTGTATCTATTTCCTAGCTCTTGCTGACTTCCCAGCAAAAAGGAAGAGAAAGCAATTTTAATGTCAATCCCAAGATACCCAGAAAAACAAGGGAAAGTTACTTGTTGCTCTTTTTATAGGTACATTTCTTTAAATATGGCAAGCATCTTAGAATTAAATAGAGTTAAAAGAACTAGTCATTAGGTCATGAACAAGTTTGAGCAGCCAAGTTAGCCTACAAATAAGGTTATGTGATAAGACTATTTACAAACTGGTCAGACGGATTATATTTAGAATATCCTTTAGGCATTACATAAAGGTGTTTGTGCATAGTGATGATAGATACAGCAGGATTATCATAAGAAGAAGGAATTAGGGCTTGGGCGCAGTGGCTCACACCTGTAATCCCAACACTTTGGGAGGCTGAGGTGGGCGGATCATCAGGTCAGGAGATTGAGACCATCCTGGCTAACACGGTGAAACCCTGTCTCTACTAAAAGTATAAAAAACTTGCTGGGCGTGATGGCATACACCTGTAGTCCCAGCTACTCGGGAAGCTAAGGCAGGAGAATCGCTTGAACCAGGGAGGCAGAGGTTGCGGTGATCTGAGATTGCGCCATTGCACTCCAGCTTGGGCGATACAGCAAGACTTCATCTCAAAAAAAAAAAAAAGAGGAATTAATTATTAATTTGAATGGCCTCCAATTCAGTGATGAGATTGAATGACAGTTAATGCCCCAAAAGCATGTTTTACAAATAAATAGTTGTGTGGTACATTAGTTATTGTAAATTCCTGAAAGAAAAGCAAAAGTTGTTAAATAAGTTTGGGAAATTCTTGGCTATACAAAATTCAATCCTTTTATTTAATATATGACACACCAGTGCTTTATCATACTATAGTATGCTGTCAATCTCCATGATAGGAGGATAAGATGTATTTTCCATACTTGGTGAACATTGACCACCCCTCCCATTTTGAGAAATCATCTCATGGGCCATATGTGGTTGCATGGAGACAAGTACTGGGAAATTATTGGCTGACGGTAATCTGTATATTAATCAATATTAACACCTTTACTGTTTATCTCATAATTATTAAGTTAAAAAATTTAAAGATCTTTTAAACATCTTCTAAACATTTTTATTTATTTATTTATTTTAGAGACAGGATCTTGCTCTGCTGTCCAGGCCAAAGTACAGTGTTGTGATCATAGCTTGCTGTAACCTCAAGCTCATGAGCTCAAGTGATCTTCCCACCTCAGCCTCTCATGTAGCTAGGACTACAGGTGTACACTACCATGCCTGGCTAATTTTTTTCTTTTATTTTTTTTTGGTAGAGACAGGGTCTTATTCTGTTTCCCAGGCTGGTTTTGAACTGCTGGCCTCAAGTGATCTTCCTTCTTCGACCTTCCAAAGTGCTGGCCATAACACCTGGTCTTTCTAAACATTTTCAATTGTATATTTTTATTTTACAAAGCCAGAGACATAAATAATATTCAAGGCATCCAGAAAAGCTGGCAAGGGGATGGCTTATATAAAAATGGCATAACAGATGAGCTAACAGCAGGTGAATATTTAGAAAGCATCAACCATGCATCTGGGTATCTTAAAAGGAGAGTGAAGATAGCTCAAAATTGGTAGATGGTGGTAGTGGTGATGGTGTAGGGAAGCTGAAATTTGGTTGGGGTAGGTTCTGTGAGGAAAAAAAGAAAGTAAAACAATGATAAATGATAGACATTCCTCTTCTACTAGTAGCGTCTGGGAATGGCCTTTGGCCAGTAGCACCTGGCTGCCTTTCCTTGAGTAGCAGCAAAATTTGCTTGAAGGCAGCTACCTTGGTTACTTAACAGATTATTATCAGTTTTACTGTCAAATCTTGGACAAATCTTGGTGTGCTAGCCCAGTGATTCTCCAGGTTTTGTTTTTGTTTTTGTTTTGGAGACGGAGTTTCGCTCTTATTGCCTAGGCTGGAGTGCAATGGTGCTATCTCGGCTCGCTGCAACCTCCACCTCCCAGTTTCAAGTGATTCTCCTGCCTCAGCCTCCCAAGTTGCTGGGATTACAGGCATGTACTACCATTCCTGGCTAATTTTGTATTTTTAATAGAGATGGGGTTTCACCATGTTGGCCAGGCTGGTCTCAAACTCCTGACCTCAAGTGATCCACTCACCTCAGCCTCCCAAAGTGCTGGAATTACAGGTGTGAGCCACCATGCCTGGTCGATTCTCCAGGTGTTTTAAATTTTTTTCTGATCGGCTACAGACCAAATCCTTGTGTACAAATACTTATTTTCAATTTATGTACTTATGGACTATGACAAGTAAGTCACGAACAATTTACTTGCCGGCACCAATCCTCATACCACACTACCATTGTACTAGAGTATCCAGCTGCCAAATTGAAAATGTGGCTATAGTAACAGCTGCCTAAAATTCTTCCTACTGAAGACCACACCTTTTATTCTACAAGTAGAAAGAAAAGTGAGTTAGATATATAAGAGCTTTCTCTGAATAAGTGATTTTAATTTTTATTTGTAGCCCAGTATGCGTTTAAAAAAATAGGTGATTTGGTAAATGTTTAATAATTAGCTTTTTCTCCAGAGGAATAATTGTGTGTATGTGTTACACATTTTACTGATTAAAAAACAGCACACAATGTATAAATAATAAACATACAGTAGTCATTATAAATTCTGTGTAGCCAATTGATTCTCTTGGAATGCTTTTGTTGGCTTTACCTCAACTCTTGTATCTCTAGCCAAACTATGCTTGCAGTTGATGAATGAGTATATTTCTTTCTTTTTTCTTTTTTTTTTTGTTGAGACAGGGTCTCACTGTGTCACCCAGCCTGAGGTGCAGTGGCTCACTGCGGTCTCCAACTCCTGGGCCCAAGCGATCCTCCCACCTGAGTCTCCCAAGTAGTTTGTGCACCACCATGCCCAGCTAATTATTTTTTAGTTTTTGTAGAGTCAGGGTCTCATTATGTTGACCAGGCTGGTCTTGAACACCTGGCCTCAAACAGTCCTCTCACCTTGGCCTCCCAAAGTAGTATAATTTTTAAATGTATGTTAAGTAATATTTTTTGATACTAGTTAGTAACACAAAAGTAAAACAACAAAGACAAAGATATAGGTCAGAACTTTATTCATTGAGAATGTTATGAGTGACTTCTTTGCCGAATTAGATAACAGTTTTTGAATACTGTAGGAATATTTCCTAAATTTTTGTGCTATTTACAACATAAGTGCTATAGATATGACACACTGTTAAATTTTATCTGCATTATTAACATTTTCTCCATTACTTTCCTAGGTGTCTAGACAATTAAGAAAACAAATAAAGCCCTGATTTGTAGCATTTCCGAATTTCCATGGTAATAAATACTTCCACCATGGCCAATTTTAAGCTACCAGTGTGAAATCACTGAATGTGGATTTGAGAAAAAATGCACAGTGACAAACTGTAGGGGAGGGAACAAAAATATTTTTGTCTTACTCTTCCAGGTTCTCAGGCTGGAGCTTGTAAGTTGGACTAACAAATGAGAGATTAACAAAAGAAAAGCATACACATTTATTTAATATGAGCTTTATGTGACACAGAAGCATTCATAGGAAAATTAAGACCTGAAGCAACTGTTAAGCCTGAGTGTTTTTAATACTAGGTTTGATGAGGAGTGGAAAGTCAATGAAAAACATGACAGTACAAAGGGATATGACCTAAATATAGTAAACTGGGGGAACTTAACAAGGTGTGTTTGTTCGAATTCCTGTTTAAGTGTGTTTTGCCTATACTTCAATTGATTGTTCTTTTTTATTGATTTGTATGAGTTCTTTATATATTCTTGATAGTACATATCTTGATATGATACAGTTTTTATATATTTGTTCAGCAAATATCTTCTCAATATGTGACTTGCCTTTTTTACCTTCTTCATAGTTTCTTTGGATGAACAGAATAGTTTTAAATTTTGAGTAAGTCCAATTTATATTTTATATTATATGTCATATTATATATTTTCTTTTACAGGTAGTGTTCTTATGTCGTGTTTAAGACATCTTTGTCTACCTCATGGTCATGAAGACATTTTGCTGTGTTTTCTTCCACACATTTTACAGGTTTAGCTTTACATTTACATCTATGGTCCATATACAGTTAATTTTTGAGCAGCTAGTCAAGTAGATGTCAAGGTTTATTTGTTTTGTCTTATGAGTATTCAGTTGACCCAATACCCTAGATTTAAAATATGATCGTCTTTCCAGTGAATTACACTGGAACCTTTGTCATAAATCAGGTGATTGCATATGTGTGGGTGATATGGTTTGGATTTGTGTCCCTGCCCAAATCTCATGTTTGAATTGTAATCTGCAGTGTTGGGGGAGGGGCCTAGTGGATTGGATATGGGGGCCGATTTTCTACTTGCTGTTCTTGTGATAGTGGGTGAGTTCTCATGAGACCTGGTTGTTTAAAAGTGTGTAGCACTTCCCCCTTTGCTCTCTTCCTCGTGCTCTAGCCATGTAAGATGTGCCTGCTTCTCCTTCACCTTCTGCCATGATTGTAAGTTTCCTGAGGCCTCCCCAGCTATGCTTCCTGTACAGCCCGAGGAACCATGAGCCAATTAAACATCTTTTCTGTATAAATTACCTAGTTTCAGGTTATTTGTTTATAGCAGTGCAAGAACAGACTAATACAGTGGGTCTGCTAATTCATTGGCCTTTTTATCTATCCTTGCTCTGGCATTAGATTCCCAATTATTGTTACTTTATAGTAAGACAGCATCTGGTAGTTTTAAGTTCTCCAATCTCATTTTTTTCCCATATTGTCTCTTTATTTTAGGTCCTTTTCTTCTCCTTACAAATTAGTCAGCTTGTTCATTTCTACCAAAAAAAAAAAAAAAAAGTCTCTGTGGGGGTTTTGATTGTGAATGCTTTACATTTGTGGTTCATTTTAGGGGAGAAATGACATCTTCATATTGAGGTGCTCAATTTGTGACAGCTAGTCGTAAGAATTGGTCATTCTTGTCATACCCAACTAAAATAGAGTTGAGAAACCAGGGGAAAAAGCACTCAGAATACAAAACATTGCTCCAAGAATGTAATTCTCTGCAAGCCTGACAGTTGAAACTGCTTGTTGCAATCCAAAACCAGTTTTACCTTTAGGTTCTGAAATAATTTGCTGCAACTCTAGGACTAATTTTGCCTACTACCCTCATTTACAACTCACCAATCCGAGCTTGCCAGCTCCCCACACACTTACTAGGGTCAACGAACTTTCTCAAAGAGCAATACCTAACATTTCTTTTTTTAAAAATCATCTCATCTTCTCTTTGTTTTTCAGACATACCAAAGCATGTATACCCTGAACTGCAATTCTTTCTTCCCAAGTAAAACATTAAGTTTAGAGACTCATCTCTACATTTTTATTTTGACTTTGACAAATCCATGAACATGTTTGTCCTTTTATTTATTTAAAGCTTCATTAATTTCTCTGAGAGATGTTTTTGGTTTTTAGTACAGAGGTCTTGTAAATCTTTAATTAGATTATTCCTATATATTTGATTTTTTTGATGCTCTTGTTAAATAGTATTTTTTTACATTTTATTTTCCACTTGTTTTTTACTCTACATAAGAATAATTGATTTTTTAATATCGCCCTTGCATCTTGCAACCTTGCTAAATTTTCTTATTGATTCACATGGTTTTTGCACTTATTTCTGGTGGGGATGGGGAGACAGAGTCTTGCTCAATCACTCAGGCTGGAATGCAGTGGTGCAACCTCAAACTCTTGGGCTCAGTGGGTCCTGCCGCCTCAGCCTCCTTAGTAGCTGGGACTACAGGCTCACACCGCTATGCCCAGCCAAATTTTTTTATTTCTCTTTGTTCCCAGGCTGGCATTGAACTCCTGGGCTCAAGCAGTTCTCCTGCCTTGGCCTCTCAAAGTACTGGGATTACAGGTGTGAGCCACTGCACCCAATCATTTTATAAATTATTATAAATACTTTACCTCTTTTTCCTGTAGATTTAAAATTGATCTGTGTATACAGTCATGTCATTTTCAAATAATAATAATTTTATTTCTTGTTTTCCCATCTCAATACTCGTCTTTTTTCTTTTAGATGGACTCTTGCTCTGTCCCCCAGGGTGGAGTGCAATGGTGCGATCTTGGCTCACTGCCACCTCCACCTCCTGGGTTCAAGTGATCTCCTGCCCCAGCCTTCCGAGTAGCTGGGATTACAGGTGCCCACCACCACGCTTGGCTAATTTTTGTATTTTTAGTAGAGATGGGGTTTCACCATGTTGGCCAGGCTGATCTTGAACTCCTGACCTCAAGTGATCTGCCTACCTCGGCTTCCCAAAGTGCTGGGATTACAGGCATGAGCCACTGTTCCCGGCCATCAATATTCTTCTATTTTTTTAAATTTTCTTTTTTGATTCACTAGCTTGTTGACTAGAAGTGATGATAGTGGGCATCTTTCTCTTGCTCGCAACTCGGGGAAAATGTTTAATAACTCATCATTAAGCATGATACTAGCTACAGAGTTTTTATAAATATGTCAAATTATGGCAATTCTCTTTCATTCCTAGTTTGCTGATAGTTTTTATTATGAACAAATGTTTTATCAAATGCCTTTTCTGCATGGATGGAGATGACCTTACGGTACTTGGCTTTATTCTGTTAATGTGGTAAATTGTGTTTTTATCCAGATATAAAGCCTGATTTATAAGATTTGTTGAGAAGCCTTTCATCTTTTTTCTATTCCTTGGAAGAGTTTTTGAAAGATTTGTATTTTTTTTTTTTTTTTACCTTAAACGTTTGGAAGAGTCTACCAGTGCAGCCACTTGGCCTGTAGTTTTTCTTTGTAGAAAGGTTTTAAACTATTGATTTGATTTTTAAACTACATATAGGAAGACTACCTAGATTTTTTTTTTTTTTTTTTTCTGAGACAGAGTCTACTCTGTCACCCAGGCTGGAGTGCAATGGCACCATCTCAACTCACTGCAACCTCCGCCTCCCAGGTTCAAGTGATTCTCCTGCCTCCGCCTCCGCTTTGCGAGTAGTTGAGCTTACAGGTGCTGCCACCATGTCCGGCTAATTTTTTTGTATTTTTAGTAGAGATGGAGTTTCCCCATGTTGGCCAGGCTGTTCTCAAACTCCTGACCTCAGGTGATCCACCTGCCTTGGCCTCCCAAAGTGCTGGGATTACAGGCGTGATCCACTGTGCCCAGCCACTACCTAGATTTTCTTTTCTTCCCATGTCAACCTTTGCAAGTTGTGTTTTTCAGGGAATTTGTGTATTTCATATAAATTTTCAAGGCTGTCACCATTAAAGAGTCCATAATAGCCTCACATTTTCTTCATACTTTCTATATGATCTGCAGTCGTGTTCCTGCCTTCTGTCCTTATATTGGAAATTTGTGTTTTCTCTGTCTTGATTAATCTTGCTAGGGATATATTTATTTTATCTTCGATTTTGTTGATTCTTTTTTTCTGTATTTTATTTCTGCTTTCTATTTCTTGATTTCTGCTCTTGAGTATTTCCTTCCACCCAATTTCCTGGTGATTAATTTGTTCTTTTTTTATTTTTGCTTTTTTGAGACAGAGTATCTCTCTGTCAGAGTAGGGCAGTGATGCAATCTCGGCTTACTGCAACCTCCACCTCTTGGTTGAAGTGATTCTCCTGCTTCAGCTTCCCAAGAAGCTGGGATTGATTATAGGTGTGCACCACCATGGCTGACTAATTTTTGTAATTTTAGTAGAGCCAGGGTTGTGCCATGTTGACCAGGCTAGTCTCAATCTCTTGGCCTCAAGCAGTCCGCCCACCTTGGCCTCCCAAAGTGCTGGGATTACAGGCGTGAGCCACCATGCCTGGTCCCACTAATTTGTGCTTTCTTAGCTGTCTGAAACTTTATTTTTATTTTACTTGGGTTTTTTTTTTTTTTTTTTTTTTTTTGCATTTTTTTGAGACAGAGTCTCACTGTGTCGCCCAGGCTAGAGTGCAGTGGCATGATCTAGGCTCGCTGCAGCCTCTGCCTCGCAGTCTCAAGCAATTCTCATGCCTCAGCCTGAGTAGCTGGGATTACAGGCCCTGCGCCACCATGTCTGGCTAATTTTTGTATTTTTAGTAGAGATGGAATTTCACCATGTTGGCCTGGCTGGTTACGAACTCCTGGCCTCAAGTGATCCACCTGCCTCAGCTTCCCAAAGTGCTAGGATTACTACAAGCATGAGCCACCATGCCCAGCCAGTGAAATGAAATTTTAGGTTATTGATTTTAAACGCTTCTTTTCTGTAAATGCATTTAAAGCTATTCATTTCCATCGGAGACTACTTTAACCACATTTCTCATAGATTGATATGTTGTGTTTTCATTACCATTCAGTGAAAAATACATTTTAATTTTCATTGTGATTTCTTCTTTGGCTCATGGGCTATTTTGAAAGTATGTTGCTGAATTTCTAAATATTTGGAATTTTCCTAGTTACTTTTCTGTAATTGAGCCACATTTAATTCCATAATGATTAGATAATATATTCTGTATTATTTTAATCCTTTCAGGATTTGTTAAGATCTAGTATGTGGCTCAGAATGTGGTCATAGTATGTGCATTTGAAAAGAATGTATATTCTGCAGTTCTGCAGGCATAGCGTTTTACATATATTTATTAGGTTAAGCTAGTTAGTCATATTCAAATCTATATCCTTACTGATTTTTTTGTTTGCTTTTTCTGTCTAAGAGAATCTGATAATAATATGGTTTATACTGGCTGTCTTTGGATGAGTGTTTCACCTGGTATAATTTTATTATCCTTTTGAATTTAACTTTTCTGTTACCTTATGTTTAGTGTGCCTCTTGTAAATGTCGTATATATTAGTCTTCATTATTTATTTTGAAAATTTTAGTCTTGTTTTTTATTTTTTATTTTTTTTTTTTTATTGATCATTCTTGGGTGTTTCTCGCAGAGGGGGATTTGGCAGGGTCATAGGACAATAGTGGAGGGAAGGTCAGCAGATAAACAAGTGAACAAAGGTCTCTGGTTTTCCTAGGCAGAGGACCCTGCGCCTTCTGCAGTGTTTGTGTCCCTGGGTACTTGAGATTAGGGAGTGGTGATGACTCTTAACGAGCATGCTGCCTTCAAGCATCTGTTTAACAAAGCGCATCTTGCACCGCCCTTAATCCATTTAACCCTGAGTGGACACAGCACATGTTTCAGAGAGCACCGGGTTGGGGGTAAGGTCATAGATTAACAGCATCCCAAGGCAGAATAATTTTTCTTAGTACAGAACAAAATGGAGTCTCCTATGTCTCCTTCTTTCTACACAGACACAGCAACAATCTGATTTCTCTATCTTTTCCCCACATTTCCCCGTTTTCTATTCGACAAAACTGCCATCGTCATCATGGCCCGTTCTCAATGAGCTGTTGGGTACACCTCCCAGACGGGGTGGCGGCGGGCAGAGGGGCTCCTCACTTCCCAGAAGGGGCGGCCGGGCAGAGGCGCCCCCCCACCTCCCGGACAGGGCGGCGGCCAGGCGGAGACGCCCCCCACCTCCCTCCCAGACGGGGTGGCTGGCCGGGCGGGGGCTGCCCCCTGCCTCCCTCCCGGACGGGGTGGCTGCCGGGTGGAGGGGCGCCTCACTTCTCGGACGGGGCGGCTGCCGCGCGGAGGGGCTCCTCACCTCTCAGAGTGGGCGGCCGGGCAGAGACGCTCCTCACCTCCCAGACGGGGTCGCGGCCGGGCAGAGGCGCTCCTCACATCCCAGACGGGGCGGCGGGGCAGAGGTGATCCCCACATCTCAGACGATGGGCGGCTGGGCAGAGACGCTCCTCACTTCCTAGACGGGATGGCGGCCGGGAAGAGGCGCTCCTCACTTCCCAGACTGGGCAGCCGGGCAGAGGGCCTCCTCACATCCCAGAAGATGGGCGGCCGGGCAGAGACGCTCCTCACTTCCCAGATGGGGTGGTGGCCGGGCAGAGGCTGCAATCTCGGCACTTTGGGAGGCCAAGGCAGGCGGCTGGGAGGTGGAGGTTGTAGCGAGCCGAGATCACGCCACTGCACTCCAGCCTGGGCAACATTGAGCACTGAGTGAACGAGACTCCGTCTGCAATCCCGGCACCCCAGGAGGCCGAGGCTGGCAGATCACTCGCGGTTAGGAGCTGGAGACCAGCCCGGCCAACACAGCGAAACCCCGTCTCCACCAAAAAAATACGAAAACAGTCGGGGTGGCGGCGTGCGCCTGCAATCGCAGGCACTCGCAGGCTGAGGCAGGAGAATCAGGCAGGGAGGTTGCAGTGAGCGGAGATGGCAGCAGTACAGTCCAGCTTTGGCTCGGCATCAGAGGGAGACCGTGGAAAGAGGGAGGGGGAGGGGGAGGGAGAATTTTAGTCTTTTAATTGGAGTCTTTAATCTGTTCACATCTTGTTTTTTTTTTTTGAGATGGAGTTTTGCTCTTGTTGCCCAGGTTGGAGTTCATGCGATCTCGGCTCACCGTAACCTCCGCCTTTGGGTTCAAGTGATTCTCCTGCCTCAGCCTCCCAAGTAGCTGGGATTACAGGCATGCATCACCACACCTGGCTAATTTTGTATTTTTAGTAGAGACAGGGTTTTTCCATGTTGGTCAGGCTGGAAGTGCAGTGACCTCAGGTGATCCGCCCACCTTGGCCTCCCAAAGTGCTGGGATTACAGGCATGAGCCACTGCGCCTGGCCTCATTTACATCTTATGTAACAATTAATATTACTTGGTTTAGGTCTGCAACCTTGCTATTTGTTTTCAAGTTGTTTTTTCTGTTATTTGTCATTATTCCTTCTTGCTTGCTTTTGGATTAAGTTTCTGTTGTGTGTGTGTGTGTGTGTGTGTGTGTGTGTTTTTTTTTTAAACAGGGTCTCACTCTGTCACCCAGGCTGGAATGCAGTGGCATAATCATGGCTCACTTCAGCCTTAACTTCCCAGGCTCAAGCGATCCTTCCACCTCAGCCTGCTGAGTAGCTGGGATCACGGTCATGTGCCACCACATCTGGATAATTAAAAAAATTTTTTTTTGTAGAGATGGGATCTCTCTATGGTGCCCAGGCTGGTTTTGAACTCCTGTGCTCAAGTGGTCCTCCTACCTTGGCCTCCCAAAGTTCTGAGATTATAGGCATGAGCCATTGTGTCTGGCCTGATCAAGTATTTTTTACTACTCTTTCTTCTCTATTAGCTTTATACTTTTACTTTTCTCAAAATTTTTTTTAGTGGTGACACTGGAGGTTACAGTGTGCGTCCTCAATTTATTTCAGACAACTTTGAATTATTACTTTTTTACTCTCCCAAGAATCTCATGGTGTCTCTTGAGTTGTTTCTTTTAATATAGTTGAATTTATCAACCTTCATACATGATTTTTGCCTTTTGTATTTTGTTTCAGAATTATTTTCTTACTCTGAGATTATTAAACTGTTTTTTTATCTTATTTTTAAAGCTTTAAAATATTTTCTTTAACATTTAAAAGTCCCTGAAGTTATGTGTTTATATTAATATTATTAAGACTAGTTTTGCTGTTGGGGCCCAGCATGGTGACTCATGTAATCCCAGCACTTAGGAAGACTGAGGTGGGAGGATCACATGAGGCGAGTTCAGGACCAGCCTGTGCAACATAGCAAGACCCTGTTTCTACCAAAATAAAAAATAAAAATTAGCTGGGCATGGTGGAGAGGACCTGTAGTCTGAGCTACTTGGGAGGCTGAGGCAGGAGATCACTTGAGCTCAGGATTTCGACTGTAGTGAGCTGTGATCACACCACTGCATTCCAGCCTTGGTGGCAGAACAAGACCCTTTCTCAAAAAAACAAAACAAAACAAGATTTTATTGTTGAATAAATGGCCATTGTTTAATTTGTTTGTTTCAGGCTTTTAAAGTTAAGAGCTTTGGCTGGGGGCGGTGGCTTAGGCCTGTAATCCCAGCACTTTGGGAGGCCGAGGTGGGTGGATTGCTCGAGGCCAGGAGTTCAAGACCAGCCTGGCCAAGATGGTGAAACCCTATCTCTACAAAAATACAAAAACTAGCCAGGTGTGGTGGCATGCATCTGTAGTCCCAGCTACTTGGGAGGCTGAGGCACAAGAATCCCTTTAACCTGGGAGACGGAGGTTGCGGTGAGCCGAGATTGAGTCACTGCACTTCCAGCCTGGATGACAGAGCGAGATTGTCTCAAAAAAAAAAAAAAAAAAGTTAAGACCCTTAATTTTGTGAGCGTCAGTACAAATAATAATTCCAAAAGCAATAAACCAATCATCTTAGAAAGTTACTTTTTCTTAAATAGTATTGAGCAGAAAATATTTATCTCTAAAGGTATCATTAAACTATACCAGTTCTTGATAAAAATATATATATATATTTTTGAGACGGAGTCTCCTTCTGTCGCCCAGGCTGGAGGGCAGTGGCGCAATCTCGGCTCACTGCAAGCTCCGCCTTCCAGGTTCATGCCATTCTCCTGCCTCAGCCTTCCAAGTAGCTGGGATTACAGGCGTGTGCCACCACACCCGGCTAATTTTTTGTATTTTTAGTAGAGACGGCATTTCACTGTGTTAGCCAGGTTGGTCTCGATCTCCTGACCTCGTGATCCGCCCGCCTCGGCCTCCCAAATTGCTGGGATTACAGGCGTGAGCCACCGCGCCTGACCGATAAAAACATTTTTTAACTTTTAACGATACTTTTAAGTGAAGATCTGTGGCAAAATAAAATTGTTTTACTAAGAATTAGCAAATCAGTTATTTAACTTATCCATTCAATTTTGTTTTCTGCCAGGCATTGTGTTAGCTATTTAGGATTTAAAAATGGATTCAGTCATGGGCTCTGTCTTCAAGGACCTTGTGGTTTGGAATAGGAGAGAAAGCTATAAATCGTTCATAAAAGTGACATAGATCCTGTTGGGAAAATTTGTATATTGGAATCCCAAAAGGGGAGGTTTTTCATTTGTCAGGGTGTTAAAAATATTATGTAAGAGTCGATTATTAATTTGAGCCTTGTAAGAGAAGGGTCTTTGTCAGGCAGTAATTCTCAACAGAGAAGGCATTACATTCAGAGCCAGGCATTTTTAGAACATTTTAAATAGTTAAGTGTGGGCAAAGGATGAGAGGACGGTGTGAGACAGTTGGTTGAAGAGGTAAGAGGGATGGAAAGGTTGGCCTTAAACTTATTGAAAGGTCGGCTTTAAACTGATTCACACGGGGAGCCTTTGAAGGATTTTAAGCAGACAAGTAATTTGAACAGATTTTCACTATAAGTGGTTCTTGCTGTATTGCAGACTGAGTTATCCCTAACTGGAAAATCTCAAATCCAAAATCTTCCAAGATCCAAAAATTTTTGAGCACCAACTTACTGTCCAAAGGAAATACTCACTGGAGCATTTTGGATTTTGGGGATTAGGGATGCTCAGCTGGTAAGTATAATGCATATATTTCAAAATCCCAGAAATGTCCAAAATCTCAAACACTTCTGGTTCCAAGCATTTTGGATAAGGGATACTCAGCCTGTGTATTGAGGATGCATTTAAGGAAGGTAAGAGAACTGCATTTCTAGGAAAAGGGTAAAGGAGGCCTTAACCAAAGCAGTAACACTGGAGACAAACAGGAACATTAGAGATTTAAGGAGAGTATACTTAGGATTTGGTAGACTATTGGTTGTAGAGGGTGAGAGAGGAGGCAAGCATACGAGTGACTTATTACATTTCTAGCTTGAGTTGATTGAGTGGATCGGAGAGACAGAAGCATGAGAATTATAGTGAAGGAGAGGGATCCTCAGATTTGGGGGGGCCAGATATAAAATCTGTTTTAGAAATGTAAGTATGCAGGCCCTGTGACCATCCAGTTGGATATATTCATGTGGGTCTGAGAACTCAAGTCTAGGTTCTAGTTATAGATATGGGAATCATCAGATTTAAGTGGTAGTGAAATAGAAAATGTAGAGTGGGAAGAAAAGAATCCAGGAATAGAACTTAGCAAAGTACCAGTAAATAAGAGGGATTAGTGACATACTTTCTTCATAGTGATAGAAAGATATAAATGTTTAGATCCACAAGAAGCATATCTTCTGTTTCGGAAGTAGAAGGCAAATATATATGTGCGTTTAATGGAAACATTTTTACTCAACAGCATGTAAATAAATACATGTAATAAGAACTGTAAAAACATGATGAACTAAATATAAACTAAACTAAAAAAAATAGCTAAAGCCAAACTAAAAGTAGCTTGGGCTTATATAATGAAGGGAAACTTCTTAGATAACTATGTCTTCTGAGTAAGGTTTAAAAAATATTTAAAAATTATTTTAAAATTATATACTTTATATATATATATATAAAATACACATATATACATACCCCACTAGAAACACATGTGAATCAAACAAAATCAGGTTTATAATTTGCAGCAGTGTGAGACACGGCACATCATGTGGAATCTTGTAGCATCTCAATAAGAGGGCGTTAAAAAGGACTTATGGGACTTGAGTTTATGTTAGGGGATTTGCAGAGGGTTAAGGAAGCAGGGATTTGCTCTGGACTGGATGCCATCAGAAAGCAGGAGTCATTCTGTGGTTGGGTATCTTAACAATTCTTATCTAGAAAGAGGAATATAGCAGGGCTAAAACTAGAAATTGTTAAACAACTTTATTAGCCAGAAGAGGGGAGTGTTTGATCATTTCTGGTTTGGACAGTGTTCTTGTTTTTGTCTCTGTTCAGATAAGGTCACAGAATGTTCTTGTCTGATGTTAGTGTTCTCTGAAATTGTTTATGTTCAACAGAACACTCTTGGCCTAACAGATAGTGCCAAGACAGCTCCTGACTGTGAAGGGCTGCTTCTGTCTTTCTCAGTATATAACAGTGATAAGTGAAGAGAAGAATTTAGCAAAGGCTTAGAGGCAGAGACAAATGTTGGGTGTTGTTAGGAAGTGCTCTAGTAAGTCTGTATTGGGAATACACTAAGGACAGTAATTAAGGAGGTGTAGAGGGGTAGTAAAGTAAGGAAAAACCAGGTCGTATATGGTTTTAATTGATAAACTTTGGAATATCCTTCATGTAGATTCCTTAACCAGGTTGTGGTATGATGAAAATAGTGTTTGTGGACAAAACTCCCCCTTAATTGTTTAATGAACATTTTACCTTGCCTATAAGTCTATTTCAAATAACTTTATTTTTCTTAAAAATGTTTGTCCAAGCCAGGTAAGGGGGCATGCACCCGTGGTCCCAGCTACTTGGGGGAAGCTAAGGTAGGAAGATCACTTCACCCCAGGAGTTTGAGGCTGCGTGAGCTAGGAATGAGCTATTGCACTCCAGCCTGGGTGACAGAGTGAAACCTTGGTTTTTAAAAGGAAAAGAAAGGCCGGGCACAGTGGTTCATGCCTGTAATCCCAGCACTTTGGGAGGCCAAGGCGGGTGGATCATGAGGTCAGGAGATCGAGACCATCCTGGCTAACACGGTGAAGCCCCATCTCTACTAAGAATACAAAAAATTAGCTGGGCATGGTGGCACACACCTGTAGTCCCAGCTACTCGGGAGGCTGAGGCAGGAGAATGGCGTGGACCCGGGAGGCAGAGGTTGCAGTGAGCCAAGATCGCGCCACTGCACTCCAGCCTGCGCGACAGAACGAGACTCCGTCTCAAAAAAAAAAAAAAAGAAAAGAAAAAGAAAAGAAAAAGTTTGTCCATAAAATATTTTTACATGGTTATAATTTTAATTTTATTGTTATGATATATAAATATTGTGATTTATATAGTATTTCGTATATATAGATAAGATGGAGTGAAAGGAAGAAAAGAATAAAAAATTTGAACCTTGATGATGACGAAATTGAACTGTATCTATATGTATAGTTTCTCAGTTGCCCAATATAATATAGTACCAACAAAAATATGTAACACCCGCCCCCCCCCGCCACACACACACGTTATTTCTATGAGATAGCCTGAAAGTTGCAATATAGACCTGACTGCTAAAATGATAAAATGTTTTCAGGTTGAGAGGTTTGACATTTGGTGATGATGATAGAGAATAATGATGGTAGAATTTCTAATGGTAAGAAGCTCATACTTGTACTGAAATCAGAATTTATAATCTGCACATGGCCGGGTTCATATCCCATAAAAATTAGTCTTAGCACATTAGCTAAGGCTGACACTTCCGGGTTTATATGCCTAGCATCCCCATTAGTGTTGGTGTCACTCATGGGAAGCAGCAGTAGCCTTTTTTCCTTAATTTATTCCCTTGTGCCTTTTTGATGAGCTTGTCTTCTTCTACATGCTTTTGAAAAGACTGTCTTATTTATATACAATAATAAACTGAGGAAAAAAAGGTTTCATTATTGGAAAAGCCTTATTGTTGAAAGATTGTTTTAAACCCTTTTATGCTGTAAAATTAAGTCCTTTTGTTATCCATTTAACTTGTTTTAGTCATAATTAGAATAGTTTTAGCTAAAATGTGTAATACTGATCAAACCATACAATAACAGAATATTAAAATAAACATACCTAATTCAAGACCCATGTTTTTAAGAAGTGTTTCATGTTATAAGACCCCACAAGGTTAAAACCAAGAAATAATTGAAGTTCATTGCAGTAAAATTTAACCTATTATGTAATTGAAGTCCTGTGACTATATTTTATTCATAAAGCATAAAGTTCAACTAAAAGAGGGATGTAAATCTGTTAACATTTTATTATCATTTTGTTTAGATTTTTCAGTGTTAAACAGAACATACTTAACAATGAGCTTATTCCAAAATAATTTAGGATTAGCTGGTTTAATTTTATTCTTTGTATAATAGTTTATTGTTAAAATATAGACAATAATAATTTGTGATTTTAAAATTTGTTTACCTTCACCATTTATATTTAACTACTTTTTTCTCTCCGTACTTGCCAGCTGTGTCATGTTACAACTGCCTATATAAAAAATTAATTTCTTCTTGTCCATTCATTTCCTCTTAGAATCCAGTATCATTTATCATTCACTGATGTTGACATTTAAAGTCATTTTTATATTTAGATAACCTATTATTTATAAAAGTAATGATGGCCATTTAATGAGTGAAATATTTTATTCCAAATATATTTTAATGTCATCAAGACAGTTTACTTACACATTGGGGTCTAAAATATTTAACTAAAGTGAGTAAATTATGTATAAATTAAGTATGTATGTACGGTAAACCAGGTAATTTTTTGGGTATTGTGCATGACTAAGGATCTTTGTCATTTTAACTATATTTTTATTACTAGACTTAAATAGCTTGTAGAAACTTCTTAAGTAATTGAAAGGCCAATTGCAAAGTAAGAAAATGATTTATAATGTACAGACAAAAGATTTAAAATCCTTGCAGTATATAGAACTTTTGAGAATTAGAAAAAACAAGCATCGTTATCGAAAATGGGCAAAGGACAGGAATATGGAAATTCATGAAGATATAAATATAGAAATTAAAGAACTGAAATTTGAAAGCAACATTTAGTAGATGAAAGTTTGGCAATGTTATTATTTTATTTATTTATTTATTTTTTGAGGTGGGGGCTAGAGTTCAGTGGCATGCTCATAGCTCATTGCAACCTTGAACTCTAAGGCTCAAGAGATCCTCCTACCTCACCCTCCAGAGCAGCTGGGACTATAGGCCTTTGACACCACTTCCAACTGATTTTGTGTTTTTTGTAGAGATGGGATCTTGCTATGATTCCCAGGCTGGTCTTGAACTCCTGGCCTCAAGCAGTCATCCCACCTCAGTCTCCTAAAATGTTGGGATTCCAGGCATAACCCACCTAACCCAGCCTGTTTTAATGATAATACCTAATACTAGCAAGGTTGCAGAGAAATAATTTGTAATGTATATCAAAAGCATGTAAATTAGAATGGATATGCACAAAGATATTTATTATAGCACTTACAACAAAGAATTAGAAACATGTTCATCATTAGGTGATTAAATCATGAACATCAATGTAATGGCATGTATATTGTGTAGCCAATTTAAGTTATTTGTTTGTTTTACCCTGTCTTATGGTGCTGAACAAAGGAAGTTCTTTTTTTTTGGAGACGGAGTTCGTTCTTGTCGCCCAGGCTGGAGTGCATTGGCATGATCTCGGCTCACTACAACTTCTGCCTCCCGGGTTCAAGTGATTCTCCTGCCTCAGCCCCCGGAGTAGCTGGGACTACAGGCATGTGCCACCATGCCTGGCAAATTTTGTGTTTTTATTAGAGACGGGGTTTCTCCATGTTGGTCAAGCAGGTCTTGAACTCCCAACCTTAGGTGTGATCCGCCTGCCTCGGCCTCCCAAAGTGCTGGGATTACATTGTTAACTGTATTCAGAAGTTCTTTGATTTCCTTGGCACTCCTTTTGAGGACCACCAGGGAAGGGGAAAGCTGAGCACATTTCCATTCTGCTTCAACCAGAATGTTTTGTCTCTATTTTTTTAATACAGAAGTTTCAAATAAGAGTTTACCTGCAAAAATGGTGGGGGAGGGGGCACATTTGGCTGCTAAAACCATGGTCTTAAAATGTTCAATTCTATGCATGTTATCTTCCTAAATGAAAAAAGTATAGTATGAAACATTGGGTATAGAAGGAGCCATGTTTAAAAAAACAGTTATATCTCCATCTCTCTGTGTGTATGAAAAAATGCAAGTTTTCTATACACACAGTTTTTTATAGTGGTAACAGAGTGGTAAAAAAATAAAATGGTCACAGTAGTGTGGTGGGATTTCAAGTTGTTTTTTACTTTCTGTTTTTCTTGTCTATATTTTCTAAAATGAATGGGTAGTATTTGTGACGATTAGAAAACAAAGCAATAGCAGTCACTTATAAATACCTTTAAAATGTTGGCACATTTCCATGCAAAATTCTATTTTAATGCTGGTCTGGTCAGAACTAGTTTTGCCTGTCAAGACTAATTGTTCAAGAGACCTTTTTATATAAAAGAGCTATGTTGTAACTGGATTTCTGTTGCACTAGTGTTTTAATTTAATAGGTAAAATAATTTAAATAATAAAGAATAAAAATTTAAAATATTTATTAAATTAAAAAAATAGAAAATCCTTCCTTAACCTAGAATAATAATCACTAAATATAAGATTTACTATATGCCAGTTGTTCTAAGCAGTTGACATATATTCACTCATCTAATTCTTACAACAACCCTAATTCAGAATTACTGTTATGTACAGAAAGCTGAATTAATATGACCAAGGTCACACTACTGATTCAAACTACCTTAGATGTTACTTTTGTATTCCGAGTTTCACCTCGTTGAACTCCAATTCAGACAACTAATTCTTTTAAATTTTAAAAATAGTTTATAGATGGCAGATGTGAAAACATATATATATTGACATTTATGTGTATATTTTATGTTATTTGTATTTTCAGTTTTTTAAAATCATCTTGTTAGAAGCCTTTGACCAACAGCTGTTGTTACTTCACTCATTGCTACCATCATATGCAGATAGTAAACAAGAAGATCTTCTAGGTTGATCAGATGCCCTTTCTTATTAAAATATTTTTGAAGTTTTGTCTGTGGTAGCTTTGACCCTGAGTTACTATGTATATTTTTAAGCAAGCTGACTACCACAATTATGTGGGGTATGAACAGTGTCTACATGCTCTGCCTGTGGAACACATATAAATCATTTGGCCTTGGGATATACATAAATCACACTTTTTTATACTGAAGATGACTGTCAGTGATGTTTATGCCTGACTTATTTATGATGGTAACTAACTTCATTGGACCATCTATCTACATATTTTCTTATCTACGACCTTGTGGGTCTTCTCAGAGCTAGGTGAGAAAGCTGGGAGAAATCAAGAGTGCATTTGGAGACTAATAATCGCTATTTATATGCTTTTTTCCTACAGCAGATAGTCAGTGCATTTCCAAAATACTGTTTAGGTTTGATAAGTATCAGGAATAAAAATATTACCAGGATTCTAAGGGAAAAGGGACATGTGTAAGAGAACGGAAGAATTATTAACAAGGTCAGTGAACTGCGATGAACAAATGAGTAGGGAAGACAAGGAGAAAGAAGTTATGGGGAAATGTGCTAATGAAAATATCATAGAAATGAAATCAGTATTACTGAAAGATGAGCTAATTAAGAAGATGTTATGATATCCCTAAGAATAAAATGAGCTCTTCTTCAAGTTTTTCTTGATATTACAAAAAAACTCGATCTCTAGCTGGAAGAGAATTTATTTTTAGACAAGTATTCAAATATTAGAAAGTGGGGAGGGGAGAAAAAGTATGTAGCACAATTAATGCAGCCCTTGTCTAAAATTGCATATTTTTCTATTGCATCTGGTTGTTTGGAACAATTTGCAGTAATGTAAAAACTGCATTATGGTGAAGCTGGGCCATTGACTTACATGTATCCAGCAACTTTAGTGAAAGAATTAGAGCAGAGTTGTGGAACTTGTTTTTTATGCCTGGAAAGATCCCCCGGGGCTTCCTGACCCTTCTGTGATCATTGGAGCAGGCTGAGCACTTGAAGAGATTCTCTGGTATTTTTTTTTTTTTTTTTTTTTTTACAGGAGAAGGGTTGGTTCATTTTTACCCAACTTTGCATTAGCCATAAAGGTTTTCTCCTGTGGCATATAAGATCCTGCTCTCTGATACATAGATTGGAAGATGAAGGTGTTCAGGATGAAGAAAATACATTTTAAAATAATATGATATCTCATAATCACTATCTATGATAATTCTTTGACATTAATAGGGTTGAATAGGGTAGAGATGGAATCTATTTTCAGTCCTCCTTTGCAGACTACCTCAGATTGTGATATAACTCTAGGACTGCATTATCCGAAATGGTAATTCATGCCCATCTACGGCTGTTTAAACTGAAATTAATAAAAATTAAATAAAATATTTGACTCCACAGTTGCAAGAACAGTATTTTAAGCGTGCAGTAGTCACATGACTAGTTAGTAGCTACCGTCTTGGACAGAGCAAATATAGAACATATCCATGATTGTGTAAAGTTTGTTGGTCAGGACTCCTTTAGAGCATATATCTTTTGAAGAGGTCGTCAATATTGCTTCATCTGTGGCTTTCAAAGTGTAAGTATATTGAAGAGAAGCTATTTGTTTTTTCAAGTTGGACAGATGTTCTTGTAACTTTGACAGTATATTACAGTGAGAATAGATTTGCAAGTTAGCTGACTTTAGTAGAGGACAACTTTGTTCAAATTAATCAGTAATATTTACTGTGTTATGCTGTAAAATACTACAAAGTTGGGCTTCTGGGCAACAGCATTGTATAGATAGTGAAAAAGAACACAGACCTTAAAGACAGGAAACATGGAACCTTGTCCCAGCTTTGGCACTAACTTGTTGTAAGACTTCGGGCAGGTTAATTTGGGATTTAATTTCTTCATCTCTAAATTGTAGGTTTAAATGAAATAATTTTTAAAGTCCCTTTTGTTAAAATAGTTAATTCTAAGCATTTTCTTCCCATAGGTACGACTTTTATAAAAGACCTATGGTTTTGAATGGAAAAGGTAATAGAAAGAGAAAGATACTGATAAAGGTGCTAAAACGATCCTGCCCTTATTCAAAATCATTTTACGATAGAGAAAAGTAGGCCTTAGAGGCCCAGATACCAACGGCAAGTGAGGGAGTGATTCATAATGTTCAGTGCTGTAAAGCTGATAAGTGTAATAAAGAATGAAAGTCTGCTGAATTTGTATTCAAGGAGTCATAAGATGACCTTAGAACATTTTGGCTAGGTAGAAAGTTTGGGGCAGAGGTCACTTTACGAAGAACTGAAGAATAAATGGATGAAGTGGCAAAGGAAACAGTGAGGTGAGATTAGATCTCTCTCTCTTTCTCTCCCTGTGCCTTACTGATTTTTTTTTCTTTTTTTTTGAGAGACGGATTCTTGCTCTATCAACCAGGCTGGAGTGCAGTGGTGCAATCTTGGCTCACTGCAACCTCCGCCTCCCTGGTTTGAGTGATTCTCCTGCCTCAGCTTCCCAAGTAGCTGGGACTACAGGGGTGCGCCACCATGCCCAGCTAAGTTTTGTATTTTTAGTAGGGACAGGATTTCACTATATGTTAGCCAGGCTGGTCTCAAACTCCTGACCTCAAGTGATCCACTTTGGCCTCCCAAAGTGCTGGGATTACAGGCGTGAGCCACTGCACCCAGCCTGACTTTGTTTTTTCAATTTAATTTTACAAAGCAATAATTTTAAAAAATCAATTGTTCTACAAGGCTGATATATTTGTCAGGGTTCTCTAGAGGGACAACACTAATAGGATAGATATAAATATATAGATATATAAAGGGGAGTTTATTAAGTATTAAATCACACAATCACAAGGTCCCACAATAGGCTGTCTGCATGCTGAGGAGCAAGGAAAGCCAGTCTGAGTCCCAAAACTGAAGAACATGGAGTCTGATGTTCGAAGGCAGGAAGCATCCAGCACAGGAGAAAGATGAAGGCTGGGAGGCTAGGCCAGTCTAGTCTTTTCACATTTTTCTGCCTGTATTATATACTAGCCTCACTGGCAGCTGATGAGATGGTGACCACCCAGATTAAGGGTGGGTCTGCCTTTCCCAGCCCACTGACTCAAATGTTAATCTCCTTTGGCAACACCCTCACAGACACACCCAGGATCAATACTTTGCATCCTTGAATCCAATCAAGTTGACACTCAGTATTAACTATCACAGCTAAGAAGGAAAAAGGAAAAGCAATTTTATGCGCCTTTCCTCTCCACTCCCTCTTTCTTTTTTGTACAGACAACCACATTTAAATTGGGTAGTGGTCTCTTTTGGTATTTGGTATTCATACTTCTGTATCTTTTTTTTTTCCCCTCAGATATTATCCATGAACTTCTTACTGCAGAAAATGAGAATTTAGCTGTTTTAAACCACTTCTTTCACCATTCTTCCAAAAATGAAAGTTTAGCCCATTGTCTGGTTAGATAAATATTGAATGTTTATTTTGTTGTAGCTACATAAATATTGTTTGTGGCAGAATCACAGTATATAGTGATTTTTTTTGTAAAAAACAACTTTTAGGGTTATAATTGCTTTTTGCTTTTGCTTAATTTCCCATGTAAGTATCATTAATATGTCTCTAAAATCTTAACAGAACTAGAAATCTACTCAGTAGCTTCAAACATATCAGGTCATCTGCCAATTTTTGTTGTTGTTGTTCCTTGGAGAATCATTCCTATAGCTTACCATACTCCTGCTCCAGTCCAGACTCTGTTGTTCTATATAGGCCTGCTTGATAGCTATTGTCTCATGCTTTCCTTTAGTTTCATCTTGGAGAATTTCCTTTCTTCTTTACCATTTTTAGATCACGTGTCTTCATCATATTTATTCTCCCAGGTTTTGATTGAACATATCTTTAAACTCCTTCATAGAAAGGGTAATGAGGCAAACTTTTAAAGACTCCATTGGTCTGATAGTTTGGCCAGGTATAGAATTAATATGGAAATACTTTTCCCTCCACATTTTCAAAGTATCGTTTTATTTATCTTCTGGTGTTCGCTGTTGCTGTAGAGAACTCAGGTGCCCTTCTGATTCTTATTCCTTTTTGTGAGACCCCTCTACCTTTTTTGTTCTCTTCCAATAAGTTTTTAGGGATTTTCTTTTTTCCTCCTCCCTGGGTTATTCTGAGGTTTCACAGTGATTTTGCAGGGTTTTTTATTAATTTTTTTATGACTTGATCCTTTAATTGTGAAAACTCATATCCTTCTGTTCGTAGAACTATTCTCAATAAAGTGTTCTCCTTTCTTAGTTCTCTTTTTCTGTAACTCCTACTGGTGGATGCTTTATTTTAACCTTTTTTACTCTTTGATATGGTTTCAATTTGTGTCCCTGCCCAAGTCTCATGTCAAATTGATTTCTCCCTTGCTGTTCTCATGATAGTGAGTTCTCTTGAGATATGATGGGTTATTGAATAAAAGTGTGTGGCACTCGTCCCTTGGCTCTCTCTCTCTCTCTCTGCTGCTGCCATGTGAAGAAAGTGTTTGCTTCCCCTTTGCCATCTGCCATGACTGTAAGTTTCTTAAGGCCTCCCACTCATGCTTCCTGTGAAGCCTGTGGAACTGTCAGTCAATTAAACATCTTTTCTTCATAAATTACCCAGTCTCAGGTAGTTCTTTATAGCAGTGTGAGAATGGACTAATACACTGTCATTGTTCTTCATTTTTTCTGTGTTCTTTTTGGAGGATTTAATCAATTTTCTAACACTTGTGTTGATTCTTTAAATTTCTCTAATAATAGTTTAATTTTCAAGAGCTCTTTCTTGTTTTCAGGAGACTTCTGACTCATTTCATAGATGCATTATAATCTTTCATCCAGCTGAGGAATATTAATTGCAGTTGTTAAAGATTTATTCTTCTGACTTTGTGTCTGTTTCCTTTATGTTCCTTTTTTCTGTTTGCTTGTTTGAGCTCCTTTCTCTCATGTTGAAGTGACTGGTGATTCTTGGCTGTCCATTTTGAAGAGTGACCTAGCTTTTTGGTGTATGACATTTTTACTAAACACTTTAACACTACATAGCATGGATTGCCAACCAGTATATTTTTTACTTATCAGCCCTAAGATAACACCAAGTGGCCATAATTCACTTTTCGGTTCCAATTTTTGTTCCACTCAGCATAGTCTAGATTATGGTTCTGTTCTGTTTTGTTTTGTTTTGTTTTGTTTTGAGACAGAGTCTCGCTTTGTTGCCCAGGCTGGAGTATTGTGGCACAATCTCAGCTCACTGCAATCTCCACCTTCCAGGTTCAAGCAATTCTCCTGTCTCAGCCTCCTGAGTAGCTGGGACTACAGGCACCCGCCACCACGCCAGGCCAATTTTTGTATTTTTAGTAGAGATGGGATTTCACCATGTTGGTCAGGCTGGTCTCGAACTCCTGACCTCAGTTGATCCACCCGTCTTGGCCTCCCAAAGTGTTGGGATTGCAGGTGTGAGCCACCGCGCCCAGCCTAGATTATGTTTTGGTAACATATGACCCCAAATTTTCAGTGGGGTAACACAATAAAGGTTTTATCTCTCTTGCACTACATGTTCAGTGTGGTCTGCAGAGTCCTGTAGTCATGGTCCTCTCACTTCAGGACCCAGAAGATGGATCTTGAAACTTGCTTCCATAAGTTTTGAAGCAGGAAAGGGGATACAGCAGATTTTGCACTAGCTAGCTCTTACAGTTTCTTCCCAAAAGTACCTAAGCTATTTTTACTCACATTTCATTAGCCAAAGTAAATTATATGGCCATGCCTAATGTAAAAGACAGTAGGGAAATGCAAGCCTGCTTTTGTCCGGAAGACAAGGGTGACCAGAATATTTGTAACAACTGTAAGGGCATTCTACTTATACATGTTCTATAATTCATATATGCTCTTGCCATTTTAATGGATTTTATAATATACATATCTTCCAAGAATGGGATGTCTAAGGTCTCTTTCAGCTTCAAATTATATGGCTGTAATACTTGAGAATTGCCATTCACCCTAACAACTTGTTAAAAATTACTATGTTAAGTAAATATACTGTTAATGAAAACATTTGGGAGCTATTTTCCCCAGTAGTAGTTTAAGATAAATAATTTAGAGTCAAAATAATTTATTGAAACAGTTTCAATTTGAATTTATTATTCAAAACAATTGAATTTATTATTCAAAACAGTTGAATTTATTATTCAAAATAATTTATTGAAACAGAGTCAGATGCTTGAAAGAATCGTGGGACATTTTTGTTTCTGTGTTGCATCACTGGCAATGTTTAATAACTGCTTGCATTCTTGAATTATAAATGTCCAATTTGGAGATTTTAAATGACCAGATTCCTTTGCTAATTTAAATGTTCTTTCTTTGTTGAAAATAAAGCATATATATTTTTAAATATATCTCTTTTTTTTTTTTTAAGAGTGTCTCGCTCTGTTGCCCAGGCTGGAGTGCAGTAATGTGATCATAGCTAACTACAGCCTTTAATTCCTGGGCTGAAGAGATCCTCCCACCTTAGCCTCCTGAATAGCTGGGACTACAAATACATACCACCACACCTGGCAAATTTTTGTTTGTTTGTTTTTGTAGAGATGGGGTCTCACTGTGTTGCCCAGGCTTGTCTTGAAGTGCTGGGATCATAGGCATGAGCCAAGATGCCTGGCCCCTTTTTTAATATTTATTTTTTAAATTAAAAAAAGTAGAGAGAAGGGTCTCACTGTGTTGCCCAGGCTGGTCTCTAACTCCTGGCCTCAGGCAATCCTTTTTGCCTTGGCCTTGCAAAGTGTTGGTATTACAGGCGTGAGCCACCACGCCCAGCCCCCTTTTTAAATCATAAATTGTTATATGTTGTCATTAAAAAACACCTCAAGTATGTTAGTGCCCTCTGTCAGATAAAATTTCAGTCATATGTAATTTTGTGCCTTGTGTCCAAACTTTAATTTTATTGCTGACATAGTAACATCACACCACCACATTGCTAAATCTGTGAGCTTCTTCCTTGTCTATGCCTGTTTTCCCCTCATATTCAATATAGTAGGTTATTTTAAGCAATAAAATGCTTTCCAAACCACGAAGTTGTTAAATGTACACTAAAAATAAATTAACGGAATTATTTTCATTCTGTGTTTGAAAATGACATTGTATCTTGAGAGTGACCATACAAACTCTTTGCTAAATTTCATTATTTGAAACTCATGTATGTTCAGACAATTTTTATTTTCATAAAAGAGCATGCCAGGCTGGGCGCGGTGGCTCACGTCTGTAATCCCAGCACTTTGGGAGGCCGAGGCGGGCGGATCACGAGGTCAGGAGATCGAGACCATCCTGGCTAACACAGTGAAACCCCGTCTCTATTAAAAATACAAAAAATTAGCTGGGCGTGGTGGCGGGCGCCTGTGGTCCCAGCTACTCGGGAGGCTGAGGCAGGAGAATGGCGTGAACCCGGGAGGTGGAGTTTGCAGTGAGCCGAGATTGTGCCACTGCACTCCAGCCTGGGCGACAGAACGAGACTACATCTCAAAAAAAAAAAAAAAGAGCATACCAATATCAAGTAACATAATGTTTGCTTGCTGTTGAATAACAACTTTATTTTTCTTATTTTGTGTATTGTCTACATAGCGGAAGCAGTTGAAGAATGCAATGTTGCTAATTTAATGGAATTTGTTTTACTTTGAGTTCAAAGACTTGACACATTTCTTTTTAAATGTCCTGATTTTGGTTAAAAACAAAAAGGAAACCACTTCTAGCTCTAAGGGTAGTTATTTTTTACTTCACACATACAGTGACATTCAACTAAGAGGAACTAACAAGTTATTATAATAAGGCATGTTATATGTTCATTTGTTTATCAATAACTGAGGATTACATTCTGTGTCTAGGACTCACCACATCATTTAATATCACAAGTACTTTAGAACTAACTACTCTTTTATGGTTTTTTTGTGTGTGTGAATGGCTGTGCACAAGCCAGGGATTTTAATGATTGAGAAATACAGAGCTGTAATATTCTAAATCAAAATATATGCACTGAAAGCTACCAGTAGAAACTATTCTGAAATCTGCACCAAAAAAAATATATGAACCTGGTGGTACCAAGTTTTGTGTTAGGGATTCCATTGACTTAGTTTTGAGTGTGTAATAGTGCATGTTATATGTTACAGATTTTAAGATACTTTAAAAATATATTTAAAAATATAAATTCAAATAAATTATTTTAGACTCTTTGAAGCATTTCCCTGATCTCCAGAGTTTTAAAGATAGAACAGTTTCAAAATCACTCTTTCAGATGATGGTGGGGAGATTGTGGAAAGCCAAAGTTTTGGGGTTTTTTGGGGGGGAGGCGTGTTATTATTTTTACATTAGGTAAAGCCAAAGATAAGTTTGAATTTTCCTATTACCTGTACAGCTTGAGAAGTTCCTAATTTTTCTCAGCTCTAAAAGAAAAGTAGACACACTTTTGTTGATTCATTTTCTATACTACCTGTCCCATCAACTGTCATTGCAATAAGGGGTGAATAGCGCACTGTTCTCAAAGCCAGATCAGCTCCACGAAGATGGCTGAAACTGCCTTGGAGGAAAGAATCAAATATAACTTCTCAGAAAATATGCTAAAAAGGAAAGCAGGGTCTCTATATCAGTTGTTCCCTTTAGTTTCATATCTGTATTCTCATTTGTTGATGTCTATATCATTTTCCTGCTGCCTTTCAAATTCATTCATCAGCTCAGCAGCCAAGAGTATAGTCTGAAAATAATTCCGCAGATTCACTTCAAAGTTCTTATACTCATTTATTCTGTTTCATTCATATTCATATTCATTTCCTCATATTCATCTCTCTGTCTCTTCATCTACCTTCTCCCCATTTTCCAATTACATGAACAATATAAAATGTCAGATTGTCAGTCACTTGAATATTGTCTAAAATCTGTTAGTAGCATCCAATATAAGTTCCATGCACATGCCATTCTTACTGAATACTTCATAGCAGTAAGAATAGGCCAGGCAGACAGATCGCTTAAGCCCAGGAGTATGAGAGCAGCCTGGGCAACATGACGAAACCCCGTGTCTACAAAAAAAAAAACACACAAAAATTAGCAGGACATGGTGGTGTGTACCTGTAGTCCCAGCTACTTATGAGGCTGAGGTGGGTGGATTACTTGAGCCTGGGAGGTGGAGGTTGCAGTGAGCTGAGATTATGCTACTACACTCCAGCCTGGGCAACAGAGCCAGACCCTGACTCAAAAAAAAAAAAAAAAGTTAGAATGATAACAGTTTCAATATCAACTCATTACTTTCTCATCTTTAAATTTAAGCAAACCAACATATCTCTCACTCATAAAGTATCTGTATCAAAGATATTTTTTCTAATATTTTTAAAATTTTGAAACACAGGTTGAAAGAATTTCAACAAGGAGCACAATACTATCTAGTTTGTGCAATTATCGTTTTTGTATACTTTATATAACTCTGCATCTATTATACCTCTGTGGATTCATCTGTTTATCTTTTTGCTACATTTCAAAAGAAGCTGCAGACATCAATATAATCTCTAAATTTTCCAGCATGCATATCATTAACTAGAGTTCACTATCTTTTTTGAGGTAAAATTGATACACAGTGAAATTGTAAGTGCACCATTCAATAACTATGACACATGTCTACCCTTTTGTAACTCAAACCCATCTCAAGACATGGAACATTATCTCATTCCAGAAAGATCCTTCATGTCCCTCTTTAGTCAGTCCATATATCCACCCACAGACAACAATTATTTTCATTTTTTTCCTACTATAAGTTAATTTTGTCTGTTCTAGAACTTCAAATAAATGGAATTACAGTATACTCATTTTTTATAAAGCTGTTTTTACTTGCTATTGTTGGGAGATAACTTTCCTTGCATCTCTCACTCAGATTGCTGCATCTCTTGTGAGTGAAGCCGACTCTCCTTTGTTCCAGAGTATCTTTTCAAAATGTTTATAATATGCTAATAGCCTTGGAACATAGGAAAGGGCCAGTATGCTTACTGCCCATTACAAAAAATTCAGTTTCCCTAACTAACATCAGTGTTCCTCCTTTTTATTTTTTTAGATAGAGTCTGACTCTATTGCCCAAGCTGGAGTGCAGTGGCATGATCATGGCTCACTGCAGCCTCTGTCTCCCTGGGCTCTGGTGATCCTCACACTTCAGCCTCTAGAGTAGTTGGGACTACAGACACATGTCACAATGCCTGGCTAATTTTTGTATTTTTTGTAGGGACGGGATTTCACCATGTTGCCAGGTTGGTGTTTAACTCCTGGGCCCAAGTGATCTGCCTACCTCAGCTTCCCAAAGTGCTAGGAGTATAGGCGTGAGCCACTGTGCCTGCCCCGCAGTGTTCCTCTCTTGTTAATGCAACCCTCTGGGTGTATAGGTCTCATCTGACCTTCTTTACATCACCCTGTGGGAATTGAAGCAACTGCTCTTGTTAAAAAATAAACTGTCCTTTGGGAGGCCGAGGCAGGCAGATCACCTGAGGTCAGGAGTTCAAAACCAGCCTGGCCAATATGGAGAAACTCCGTCTCTACTAAAAATACAAAAATTAGCCGGGCATGGTGGCATGCGCCTGTGATCCCAGCTGCAGGCTGAGGCAGGAGAATCACTTAAACCCGGGACGTGGAGGTTGCAGTTAGCTGAGATCGTGCCATTGCACTCCAACCTGGGTGAAAGAGTGAGACTCCGTCTCTCCAAAAAAATAAAAATAAACAAATAAACTGCCGGCCAGGTGTGGTGTCTCATGCCTGTAATCCCAGCACTTTAGGAGGCCGAGGCAGGCAGATCACAAGGTCAGGAGTTCGAGACTGGCCTGGCCAACATGGTGAAACCCCATCTCTACTAAAAATACAAAAATTAGCTGGGTGTGGTGGCAGGCACCTGTAATCCCAGCTACTCGGGAGGCTGAGGCAGGAGAATTGCTTCAACCCAGGAGGCAGAGGTTGCAGTGAGCCGAGATTGCGCCACTGCACTTCAGCCTGGGTGACAGAGCAAGACTCCGTCTCAAACAAAAAATAAAATAAACCGACCTTGGGCTGGGTGCGGTGGCTCACACCTGTAATCCCAGCACTTTGGGAGGCTGAGGCAGGTGGATCACCTGAGGTCAGGAGTTCGAGACCAGCCTGACCAAAATGGTGAAACCCTGTCTCTACTAAAAAATACGAAAATTAGCTGGGCATGGTGGCGGGTGCCTGTAATCCCAGCTACTCAGGAGGTTGAGGCAGGAGAATCGCTTGAACCCGGGAGGTGGAGGTTGCAGTGAGCTGAGATCACACCATTGCACTCCAGCTTGGGTGACAGAGCAAGACTCCATCTCCAAAAAAAAAAACAAAAACAAACAAACAAACAAAAACCCTATCGTTTGTTTCTGACCCTGTAGTATCATGCATTCTACCACCTTCTGTGAAATTTTGGCAAGCTAATTTATTTGCTAGCTTGTACTTCAGGTAAAACCAAAAACCCTTCTCAGTTTTTGACAACTATTATGATGTGTATCCCAGTGATTCATTCCTTTTCATTGCTCAGTAGTATTGTACATAGCAAAAGTTGTTTATCTGTTCTATCATTGAAGGATATCTACACTGTTTTCAGTTTTGGGCTATTATGGATAAACCCCTAATATACATTTGCACACAAGTCTTTGTGTGAACATGTGTTTTAATTTCTCTTGCATAAAAGCCTAGCCATGGAACCTGGGGTCATAGGGCAGGTATATGTTTAATTCTATAGGAGATTGCCAAACTTTTTCCAAAGTAGATCTACCATTTTATATTCCTACCAGCAGTATATAAGAATTTTAGTAGTTACACATCCTCACCAACTTTTAAGCCATTCTAGTGGCTGTGTATTGCATTGTGGTTTTTTTGTTTGTTTGTGTTTTGAGACGGAGTTTTGCTCTTGTTACCCAGGCTGGGGTGCAATGGCGCAATCTCAGCTCACTGCAACCTCCACCTCCCAGGTTCGATTCTCCTGCCTCAGCCTCCCGAGTAGCTGGGATTACAGGCGTGCACCACCAAGCCCGGCTAATTTTGTATTTTTAGTAGAGACAGAGTTTCTCCATGTTGGTCAGGCTGGTTGTGAACTCCTGAACTCAGGTGATCCGCCTGCCTCTGCCTCCCAAACTGCTGGGATTACAGGTGTGAGCCACTGCACCCGGCTGCATTGTGGTTTTAATTCCCATTTTTTTTTGAAGCCTAATGATGTTGATTACTCATGTGCTTATTTTCTATTTATGTATCTTTTTTTTTAAGTAGGCATATCAGTTCAAGTCATTTGCTTACTTTTAAAAATCAAGTTACGTTCTGGCCAAGTGCAGTGGCTCATACCTATAATCCCAGCACTTTGGGAGGTTGAGGCAGGAGGATTGCTTGAGCCCAGGAGTTCGAGACCAACCTGGACAACATGGCAAAACCCTGTCTCTACAAAAAATAAGCCCGGTGTGGTGGCATGTGCCTGTTGTCCCAGCTACTCGAGAGATTGAGGTGGGAGGATTACCAGGAAGTTGAGGCTGCAGTGAGCTGTGGTCACACCACTGCACTTCAGCCTGGGCCATAGCAGTGAGACCCTGTCTCAAAAAAAAAAAAAAAATTTACATTTTGTTAGCCTTAATAAAAAAAATTATACAACTTAATCTGATCTATTTTTTAAGCGACCTTTTGTTCCTAGAGATGATCTACATTGTCAATTTTATTGCAATCATTTATTTGTAATATTTCTTTGCTCTCCTTTTAATGTCTGTGGGATTGGTGGTGACGGGCCCTCTTTGATTCCTGATTTTGATAATTTGTGTTCTTTATTTTTCTCTTGTGTTTCTACCTAAGGGTTTATCAATTTTGTTGAAAGCACTGACTTTTATCTGTCTTTACTTTTCTCTATTGTTTTTTACCCTATTTTATTGATTTATGTTCCTATTATTTTCTTCTACCAACTTTGAGTTTCCTTTGCACTTTCTGTAGCTTCTTAGTTTGAAACCCTATGATGTTCTTTGAAACCTCTCTGTTTTATTATTTTTTTAAGACAGAATCTCACTCTGTGGCCCAGGCTGCAATACAGTGGCACAATCACAGCTCACTACAGCTTCAACCTCTTAGGCTCAAGTGATCCTCCCACTTCAGCCTCCCAGGTATCTGGGAATACAGGCATGTGCCACTATGCCTAGCCAATTTAAAAAATATTTTATTTTTTGAGACGGAGTTTCACTCTTATTGCCCAGGCTGGAGTGCAGTGGCGCAATCTTGGCTCACTGTAACCTCCGTTTCCCGGGTTCAAGCAATTCTTCTGCCTCAGCCTCCTGCGTAGCTGGGATTACAGGCACCCACCACCACGCCTGGCTAATTTTTGTTATATTTTTAGTAGAGATGGGGTTTCACCATGTTGGCCAGGCTTGTCTTGAACTCCTGACCTCAGGTGATCTGCCCACCTCAGCTTCCTGAATGCTGGAATTACAGGCGTGAGCCACTGCACCTGGCCTTAAATTTCTTTTTATAGCGACAGGGTTTTACTGTGTTTCCCAGGGGGTCATGAACACCTGGCCTCAAGCAGTCTTCCTGCCTGGGCTTCCCAGAGTGTTGGATTACAGATATAAGCCACTGTACCTGGCCTTTTTAAAAATAGATAAATAAATAAATAAATAAAGTACTTAAATCTAAATTTTCCTTCATAAATGGTTTTAGCTGCATCCCACAAATTTTGATATGTTGTTTTTTATTATCATTTGGTTTAAAAATTTTTAAATTTCCCGTGATTTTTTTTTTGCATTATCAGGTCAATTAAAAGTATACTGTGTAATTACAAATATTTATAATTATTTATCTTTTTATTTATCATTATGGTTTCTATTTTACTTCTCTTTTGATCAGAGAACAAATGAATCTCAAATAGGTTAAATTGCTTGATGGTGTTTTTTAAAAGTTAGTGTGTCTTAAATGAATTTTTCCCCCAGTTGTTCTGTTAACTGTAGAGGGTGGCTTATAAAAAAAGTCTCCAGCTATGCTTGGAATTTGTCTAATTCTCTTTATAATTCTGTCAGTTCTTGATTTGTGCATCTCAAAGCTCTGTTACTGGGCACATACACATTTATGATTGTTATGCCTTCTTAATGAGTTTTTAAAAATTCCATTATGAAATGTCCTTCTTTATTTTTGATAATACTCTTTATCTTAAAGTCTACTTTTAGTAATATAACACAGCTGTAGCCTTATTATTGTTTACATGATTGTCTTTTTCTGTGCTCTGATTTTTTATTTTTATATATCTTTATAGTTAAAGTGGCTCTTTTGTAGATGTAGACGGCAAAGAGTCGGGTCTTGCTTTTTTATCAATTTGATAAATCTCTGCATTTTCGTTGGAGTGTTAAATCCTAATTTAACACCTAATGTAACTGTTCATATGGTTGGATTTAGATCTATCGTTTTGATATTCTTCTGTTTATCTCATTTCTTTGGTAACTGTTTTATGTCTTTCTGCTGCTGTCTGTGTTAATATGATATTTTTAAAATTCCATTTTAGTTTATCCACTGGCTTTTCAGTTACACATTTTTGCATTTTTAAGTGGTTGAGGACATGCATTCTTAGAGCATGATATCACAACCAAGAAATGAAAATTAGTTCTTGTAGAGGCAATACCATGCCAGATACTGTAGTGGTTTGTAGTCTTCCAAAGAGCTACAGTACATAAGTAAATATTCAGTATATTTGTGTTATTAAAATTTCACATGGAGAGGAAAATAGGAAACAAAGCTTACTATGGGGAGTATAATGAAAAAGTGTTCTAGGCTTATAGTATACATCCTTAAATTAGATAGTGTACATAGATGTACTATTCTGCCACTCCATGTAAAATCAGAGATATTTTTATAAGTAAGATCTACTTGAAATATAGTATTATTTCAACAGTGCAACATTAATACCATAGAAGTATAGATTTGATAGGGATTTTAAAAATTTCTTCAGCCATCATCTATTAAGTACCTCTTATTTTCAAAGAGGAGCAGTAAAACAAAATACTCTATCATAAAAGCACCCATTTCTTGTGATTCATTGTGTCAGCTAAGAAGTTTTGTAGTAAATTTTTAAAAGTTCAGAAAATTAAAGGATAAAAACAAAATACTCTATCATAAAAGCACCCATTTCTTATGATTCATTGTGTCAGCTAAGAAGTTTTATAGTAAATTTTTAAAAGTTCAGAAAATTAAAGGATAAAAGGTGAGCATGGGTTGAGTAGGGTGGCCTACCTGTGGCATGTAGTTTCAAGATTCTAAACTTTAATATTGTGATTATGTTGTTGAGGGACATTTGAAATATTCCAGAGAATGTTATATTAAGCATTATGATAGACAAGGGCTTTTTATGTCAAATGATCTGGCTTTGAGTCCTGGTTCTGCCTGTCATCAGATAGGACCTTGGGACTCTTGATGTCCTCATCTAAGTGAGAAAAAGTCACAGCTACTTTTTTCTGCCTCCCTCCCTCTTTCCCTTGTTCCCCACCATCCTGATTCTCCCTCTCTGCTTCAAATATATGCTGAACACCTGCTATGTTTCAGGGATGGTTTTAGGCATGTAAATGAAAAATTATGATCTTTCCTTTCAAGAAGTTAGTAGCTTTATAAGAAAACAGACACATTGGCAGAGCGCGGTGGCTCATGCCTGTAATCCCAGCCCTTCGCGAGGCTGAGTTGGGTGGATTGCTTGAGCTCAGTAGTTCAAGACCAGCCTGAGCAACTTGGCAAGACCCCATCTGTAATGAAAATCAAAACAAAAAAACAAAAAAAAAACAGCTGGGTGTGGTGGTACACACCTGTGGTCCCAGCAACTTGGGAGCCTGAAGTGAGAGGAGCCCTTGAGCCTGAGTGGTAGAGGTTGGAGTGAGCCAAGATTGTGCTGCTGCACTCCAGCCTGAGTGACAAAGCAAGACTCTGTCTCAAAAAAAAAAAAAAAAAAAAAGAAAGATAACAGACACATTATAATGTAGTATCATGTGTTATAATGGTGATATATACCATACATAATTGGAGCACTGGAAAAGGAGTACCTGTATTTGCTTAAGAATATCATAAAGGCTTTGAAGATGAGGTAATGTTTAAACTGAAACTCAGTAATGTATAGATATTTGCCAAGTGTGGGTGAGGGGTAAGGGTGGGTTGAGTATATGAGATAGCAGGTGAAAGCATTCAGCACAGTACCTGTTACTGAATAGATTCTCCATACATGTTTGTCTTCTCCCACCTCTTCCATCTCTGTGTCAGCAGATAGGGAAGCAGACTGGATACTTATAAAAATAGTTTAAAGTGTTTATTGAACTACTAGTCAATGTACTGAGCATTGTTCTAGGCATTGTACATTTATTTGGGATCCAACAATAACCTTATGAGATATTTTGTATTCCTGAAATATATTATCCCTAGTTTACAGACAAGGAAACTGGGGCTCTGAGTGTTTTTTCAGTTTTTGCAGCTGGAGCCCATTATTCTAAGCAAATTAATGAGGGAGCAGAAAACCAAATATTGCATGTTGTCACTTATAAGTAGGAGCTAAACATGGGTTCTTATGGACATAAATATGGCAACAATAGACACCGGGGACTACTAGAGAAGGAGGGGAGGGAGAGGGGCAAGGGTTGAAAAACTAACTATTGGGTAATATGCTCATTACCTGGGTGGTGGGATCAATCATACCCTAAACCTCAGCGTCATGCAGTATACCCATGTGACAGACCTGCACAGGTACCCCCTAAATCTCAAATAAAGAAGTTGAAATTTGAAAATAGAGAAATAATTTTAGAAAGAAATATTTGTGTTAGACATAATAAAGTGCTTAAGATGTCAATCAAAAGTTTCCATTGGCTGAGTATGCTACCTCATGCCTGTAATCCCAACACTTTGGGAGGCTGAGGCAGGAGGATTGCTTGAAGCCAGAGTTCAAGACCAGCCTAGTGAGACTGGTCTTGGCAACATAGTGAGACTCCGTCTCTACAAAAAAATTTTAAAAGTAGCCAAGCATGGTAGGGTGCACTTGTGGTCCTAGCTACTTGAGAGGCTGAGGCAGGAGGATTGCTTGAGTCCAGGAGGTCAAGACTACAGTGAGCTGTGATTATGCTACTGCACTACAGCCTGGGCAAAGAGTGAGACCCTTACTCTTAAAAAAAAATAAAATAAAATTCCGTGATATGACTCTAGCTTGCATTTTACAACCTCATTTTTGGTCTCTCACTTCACAATGATACACTTAAACTACTCTCCTTGCCATCCTCAAACATTGTATTAACTATTCCTGCCACACAAGTATATGGTACCATTAGCTCAGTTTCGACTGCTGTCTTCAATCTCCATTAGAATCTCACTCTCTCTCCATGCACTCAAAAATACACCTCACGTGTAAAGCTTCTATAATGCTTCTGTATGGTATAGACCCCTCCTTTGTATTATTCATTTCATAATTTTTCTGTTTCTCTATTTTATGTATTCCCTTTCCCTGGAAATCAAGTTAAAGTTAAATATTTGTCTTTTTGAATTCATCCTCTGTATTTCTCATTTGTTTTTGTGTTTGACTCATGTATTTGCTTCCTTCCTTTCTTCCTTCCTCACCTCCCATATCATCCCCTCCCCTTCCATTTTCTAATCTTTCACTTCTAAGCCACTTAGTCATTTCAAAATTTTCTGAGAGTGCTTTTTAAATTCTCTGGTTGTTTAAAATCTTTTATTGATGTTATATTGTCTCAAATAGCTCTGGATATACTAAATAGATGGTGTATAAAATTTCTTTTGTTCTCTCATTTATCTTGGTCTTTCTTTTCTTTTCTTTTCTTTTTTTTTTGAGTTGGAGTTTCACTCTTGTTGCCCAGTCTGGAGTGCAGTGGCACAACCTCAGCCCACTGCAACCTCCGCCTCCCGGGTTCAAGTGATTCTCCTGCCTCAGCTTCCCTAGTAGCTGGGATTATAAGCGCCCGCCACCACACCCAGCTAATTTTTTTGTATTTTTAGTAGAGATGGGGTTTCACTATGTTGGCCAGGCTGGTCTTGAACTCCTGATCTTAGGCAATCCAGCCGCCTCAGCCTCCCAAAATGCTGGGATTACAGGCGTGAGCCACCGCGCCCATCTGGTCTTTCTTAATTATGCTGTATGTTTTATGATTCTTGGTTGACCCTTCAGATACATGAATGAGGGATAGGAATGATTTAAGGTCCAGTGGGTAGAGAGCCAGTTTTTACACCAGTGGTCTTCTCATTGTCAGAATGAATAGGGGTGTATGCACAGGATCCAATATTTTACCGCTTGCCTGGATATTTCCTTCAGTCTCTTTAGAGAAGGGCCTCATATTATTTGCCTTAAGGCCATGTTTGCCTGTTTTCACATGTGTAGGTAGGAATGGTATGTGAGAATGAAATGGGAATCTGGTCCTTACACAAACCTTTCATTAACCTCCCTGTTTTCAAGCCCATTGCTCGTTCTTACCCTTCATCATACATGTGTGTAAGCAGAGTTTCTCAGGGTTCTATTAGGAATCTTGGTTCCTACTTCTGCTGCAGCTCCTTCTGTTAATTTTCTTGGGTGTGACTCCTTCAACTCAGTTATCAGTCAGCACTCAAACTTCTAGAAATTTATTGAATTTGGTTTTCTGCTGATGCATCTCTCATTCTCTTCTTTATTGTGAATCTTTCTTTTTACTAGTTTGTCATTTTGATGGCTTTTAAAGAGTAACGTGAAGCACCTCACTTGGTCTGTTCAGCCTGCCATCTTGAACTGGAAGTCAGTTTATGCCTCCTAGAGAAAAAAATACTCTGATTTCTAAGGAGAATCAGTTATTAAACTGTAGCCACTTCCCAATCTAGTTGGAGAGAAAAAGCCTGTGTCAAGAGAGATGAGTAAGCCATTACTATCTGGAGCCCTGGGTAAAAATAATTGGCAAATAAACGATAGCATTCATACTATTTTCAGTTGACTCCTTATTCCTGTTATTCTTTTTTTTTTTTTTTTTTTTTTTTGAGAATGGGTCTTGCTCTGTTGCCCAGGTTGGAGTGCAGTGGCGTAATCGTGGGTAGGTGCAACCTTGACCACGGTTCAAGCAATTCTTCCACCTTAGCCTTCCAAAATGTTGGGATTACAGGCATCAGCCACTGCACCTGGCCCCTGTTCATATTATTTAAAAATCCTTTTTAAATGGTTTGTTGGGAAGAGGAAAGCAAATACAGCAAGGATTTTTTTTTTTTCCTGAGTCAGGGTCTCTGTCACCCAGGCTGTTATAGAAAACAGCATGAAGTGCAGTATTGAGACCTCAGCTCACTGCAGCCTCCCTAGTAGCTGGGACGTCAAGTGTGTGCCACCATGCCCAGCTAATTTTTTGTATTTTTTTGTAGAGATGGGGTTTCGCCATGTTGCACAGGCTGGCCTAGAACTCCTGAGCTCAAGCAGTCTACCTCCCTCGGCCTCCCAAAGTGCTGGGATTACAGGCATGAACCACTGCACCCAGGCTGAAAGCCAATATTTTTATAATTCTTAAATAAATATGTGCCAGAATGAATTTTAAAAATTGAATTCTCATCATCCACCTCCCTCCCAACCCCTCACCCTTCTGAGTCTCTATTGTCTATCATTCCACTCTTTTTTTTTTTTTTTTTTTTTTTGAGACGAAGTCTCGCTCTGTTGCCCAGGCTGGAGTGCAGTGGCAGGATCTCGGCTCACTGCAAGCTACTCCTCCTGGGTTCACGCCATTCTCTTGCCTCAGCTTCCCGAGTAGCTGGGACTACAGACGCCCACCACCACGCCCGGCTAATTTTTTTTTGTATTTTTAGTAGAAATGGGGTTTCACCGTGTTAGCCAGGATGGTCTTGATTTCCTGACCTCGTAATCCACCCACCTCGGCCTCCCAAAGTGCTGGGATTACAAGCGTGAGCCACCGCGCCTGGCCTATCATTGCACTCTTTACATCCATGCGTACAAATTTTTTAGCATCCACTTATTAGTGAGAACATGTGATATTTGACTTTCTGTGCCTGGCTTTTTTCACTTAAGATAATGACCTGCAGTCCGTTAATGTTGCTGCAGAAGACATGATTTTGTTCTTTTTCACGGTGGAATAATATCCATTGTGTATATATATACACCACATTTTCTTTATCCACTCATCCATTGATAAATAGTTTGATTCCATGTCTGCTATTGTGAATAGGGCTGTGCAAAACATACAAGTGTGGTTATCTTTGATATATTGATTTCTTTTCCTTTGGGTCAATACCCAGTAGTGGGATTGCTAAATCGAATAGTAATTCCATTTTTAGTTCTTTGGTAAATCTTCATGCTGTTTTCTATAAAGGTTGTACTAATTTGCATTCCTACCAACAGTGTATAAGAGTTCTCTTTTTCCCACATCCTTGCTAACATCTTTTTAATAATAGCCATTCTGACTGTGGTAAGATGATATTTCATTGTGGTTTTCTGATGATTAGTGATGTAACGTTGAACATTTTTCATACACCTGTTGGCCATTTGTATGTCTTATTTGCAAAATGTCTATTCATGTTCTTTGCTCACTATTTTTGTTGTTTGAGTTCCTTGTATATTCTGGATATTAATCTACCTGTCAGATAACTAATTTGCAAATATTTTCTCCCATTCCGCAGGGTGTCTGTTCACTCTGTTGATTATTTCTTTTGCTGTGAAGAAGGAGGCTTTTTAGTTTAAGTCTTTTTTGTCTATTTTTGCCTTGCTGTTGAGGTCTTACCAAGTAAGATTTTAATAGAAAGCCATGACTAGGAGAGTACATCCCCGACTGGAATAAGATAGAATACAGAAATGAGAAAATATTCAGAGAAATATAAGTTATCCAGTTTTACTAATGGAGGGATTGTGTTTTAGAGTAATGGGAAATGAAGTGGAAAATGTAAGTAAGGTAAGATTATGAAGGATCTCACCTACAACCTAAGAGCAGAATTGTAGATTTTTGAGACAAGGGTCTCAAAAAAAGATTTTTGAGACAAGGGACTTAACAGGCTAAGATTTATTGAGAGAGAATGTGCAGGTATGGAAGATGATGTAGAGTAATGAGCAGTTGTGATGCTGAGATGCCAGTGAAGAAACTATTACACTTATCTTGGTAGAAGATAGTGTAAACTTTCCCTTTGCCTTCTGAAGATTCACTAAAAATTACTGACAAGAGGCAGATTAATAGGAGAAAAGGCTTACAAGTTTATTTGATCATAGTTTTACCGTGACACAGGAGCCTCCAGAATGATGATTCAAAAATTCAGGGGAAATTGTACATTTTTAGGCATATGTTTAACAAAGTATAGACAGCTGTAAAGAAATATAATTGGACAAAAAGATTATGTATGATCTAATGCTAACAGACTGAGTAGGGAAACCCAGCAAGGTCTGTCTGTCTAGATTTTTCTTGGCCTCTCTGAGCATGCATTCCTGCCTTTTGGGTATGGGCAGGATCTTCTCTGATTGGAGGTCTTACTGACTCAGAGTCAAACAAGGTAGGTCAGTTTTTGCACAGAAAGGTCTGGGTGGGGATGGAATTAGAGTAATGTTTTTAGGTTTTATGGCTGGCTTTGGGGAAAAGGGGTTCTGGTTCTGTAACCTACCTTGGAGAAGAGGGATTCCAGTTTCTATGGCTAGCCTTGCGGGGAAATGAGACTGAGAAACAGGAAGACTGGAGAAGGTCAGAGAAAAACTGCTTCTAAAGTTTTCTTTTTTGTTGTATTGTTTTCTGAATCCCAGCAATAGTTAAGACCTGAAGTAGGGTGATAGCAATCCAATGAAGTGGATGGGGCAGATGAGAGAGGAGAGATAGTAAGCAAAAATAAACAAGATTCCATAAATGGTTTGGGTAAAAGTAAGCATTGGAACCAGTGTAATTGGAAAAATGGAGAAACCTTCAATAAAAATTGGCAAGTTAAGGGGATAAGTTGATTTTTGGGGGAACAAATACAGGGAGCTAATTCCTTACCTTTCAACAATCTTTTCCACCTATGTAGCAGCTATTTTGGTCTAATAGCAAAGACAGAGTATTCTGTGTGAATTCTTGTCTTTTTCTTGCAAAGCCATTATAGTTTCTTATGGATATATATATATATATAATATATATTATATTATATATTATTTATATATAATTATTATTTATTATTATATATATAAATAATATATATATTTATATATAATTATATTATATATAATATATATAATTATATTATATATAATATATATAATTATATTATATATAATATATATAATTATATTATATATAATATATATAATTATATTATATATAATATATATAATTATATTATATATAATATATATAATTATATTATATATAATATATATAATTATATTATATATAATATATATAATTATATTATATAATATATATAATTATATTATATAATATATATAATATATAACCTATATATATATATAATATATATAATATATATTATATATATTATATATATAAAATATATAATATATATTATATATTTTATATATATAAAATATATAATATATATATATTTTTTTGCCAAGTATTATGAAACTAAATTGCCTTATGGACTAATTTGGGGAGGGGGACATATATGATAGAACTTTTTAAAGTATTCTTTCAGAATATCATGAACAACAGCTAGAATTTATTAGTTTGTAAGAGCTGGAATTTTACTTTAGATTTGGAAAAGCAGTTCACTTATAAGATACCTATCAAAAATCATAATAATGGAAAATTAAATTAAGTGAAAGTATACCAGCTTAATTGAGTTCACTAGGAACTATGCACCAACTCCTACAAAAGTGCACTTAAGAGCTATGAGGAGTTAAGTGATAGAGTTTTGTTTGTTTGTTTGGTTGTTTTTTTTTGAGACAGGGTTTCCACTCCATTGCCCAGGCTGGAGTGCAGTGACACGATCTCGATCTCCGCTCACTGCAACCTCCGCCTCCCAGGTTCAACTGATTCTTCTGCCTCAGCCTCCCAAGTAGCTGGGATTACAGGCGAGCGCCACCACACCTGGCTAATTTTTTGTATTTTTTTAGTAGAGACGGGGTTTTGCCACGTTGGCCAGGCTGGTCTTGAACTCCTGACCTCAGGTGATCTGCCCGCCTTGGCCTCCCAAAGTGCTGGGATTACAGGTGTGAGCTACCGCGCTTAGCCCAGTGATAGAGTTTTTGTTGCCAAAACAAAACATATGAACATATGATAGCTCTAATAAAAAATGCTGTTTCTTTGTTCTCATAATTTCAGTAGCTGAACTATGCTCCATTTCATCTGTAAAAGAGAAATAATCTGTACCTTCTTGAGTGGAGAGGGAGAAAGGAAATGAAAGCAAAATAACTATTTATAATTAGTGAAGAGAAAGCTTAGGAAAAAATGAGAAGATGCTTTAGAAATGTTAAAATAGCTTTAATAATAATACTTTATTATTTTAAAGAATGTAGGCAGTTGTGATTTTTTCCCCCAACATTTCATCAGAGAGCAGAAAAGGTGCTGCCAAATTGCAGACTTCCACATGAAAGATTTCACTATGCCAGGTGACCTGCACTAGAAGCAGGTTAATAACCCTGTTTTCATGGGCTGTCTTGCTTTCACAATGAATGGTCTCCTTTTGCAATGAATTTTTGAAGTTTTGTTTTTATTTATTCTATGTAATAATTTGGCTACATGTAATTATTTAGCTGCCTTTAGAGTCATGGACTTGGAGAATTGAAGATTTTCTGGTCCAATATTTCTCTAAGTATGTTCGTCATCTGTACTTAAAGAAGGGGCTCTGGGATCAATTAGGTCAGGAAACTGCTGAGTTAAAAAAGATTTTTAGTTTTGTGGGAGTTGGGGAGGTGAGAACATTCCTGAGACTTTAATATGCTAATATGAGTCTCTCACAGAGAAACAACATACAGTGTTTTACAAACTTACTTGACCACAAAACCTTTTTCTCGTGGTCTTGTTGTTACTCAGAACTCAAATCTTTTGAATTTACAAATGAACAGAAACGACAGCAAATGGCTTATTCAAAGCAATATAGCAGTTTATTTAAAGAACTGGACTTGAACTAAGGACTTCTACCATCATGTTTTATTTCTGTTGCCCCACCAATTCAGGAGAGTCTTTAAAAACTACATGATATTCTAAATTAGATCTGTAAAATGTACACAGAGGGGTTTGAAAAAATAAATAAAACTACTGATTGAATTATTTTTAGTATATTTTGAACTGGCACATTGACTTTGATGAAAAGAGGATTGAAAGAGCCAAATAATATTTGAAACCAAAATCAACAATTTTGTAATTGGTGAACATTGTTATTTTTACAAAAAATCAGCTATCTTTCAAATATGAAATCTGATTTCCTTTCAAATTATAAAAAGCTCAAACGACGCAGTAATGTATATACCAGAAAACTTTGCTACCTTTCTAGAACGGGACTGGAGAAAACGACTCTTTAGTGTCTGTTGTTTCAGACCACATCTCTATATAATAAACATATATCTTTTAAAAACTTTAGCTGGACTCTGCATGTGCCTGTTATCTCAGCTACTCAGAAGGCTGAGGCTAGAAAATCCCAGAAGTTCAAGACCAGCTTGGGCAACATAGTGAGTCCCATATCAAAAATAAATAAACAAAATTAAAATTTTACATAGATAGCATTATGGTAGACACAGTTCTTTAACTCTTTTTTTTTTTAACTCAACAATATGACATGCTTATCTTTCTACATTAGAACATGTAGAACTAATAAAACTTCTCTTAATGGCTTAATAATGTTATATGGTGCTATTATATTAATAATTTATTTAATCAGTTTCCCATTGATAGATGTTCAGATAGATGTAATTATTTTTTACCAATCAGTGCTGTGGTATCTTTTTGAGCCTTTGTGTATGTCTGTAGTAGAATTATTAATTGTGGAATTGCTGGGACAAAGAATATGCACATTTTAATTTTTCTAAGTATTGCCAAATTGCCTTAAAAATTTTTTTCTCCCACTGCCAGTATTGCAAAAAGAAACTTTAAAATGGTATATGTTTCACTGAACTTAAGACTTTATACTTTTGTAATGCATGACAGAGTATCTTTCTTTTTTAAAATTATAGAGATAATTTATAAAGCAATGATAATTTTAATCTCTCTTTTTCTCCCCCACCCTCTTCTGCTCTTTACAGAGCAAACTATTCATGGAAGGATTTAGAAGCCTAAAAGAAGGAGAACCAGTGGAATTCACATTTAAAAAATCTTCCAAAGGCCTTGAGTCAATACGGGTAACAGGACCTGGTGGGAGCCCCTGTTTAGGAAGTGAAAGAAGACCCAAAGGGAAGACACTACAGAAAAGAAAACCAAAGGGAGATAGGTAATCATTTTTACTTTGTTAATTTATCAGTTTATTGTGTTTGGAAAGGATTTCTGAAAATGTTTTCATCTTACTGCATTTCATATTGTCTAGCCAAAGGAAACCACCATCATGTAGAATATATTAAATATCAGAAATATAGGCTATCTTGCAGTTTGAATTATCTGCAGAATGTACTGAACTGAGCCTTCAGCATTAAGCACTGAATAGTTCCTTGACCACCTTTTCCACCAGACTGTTCTGAGACCCCAGTTGAGGAGTTGAAGTTCCCAATAGATAGAGGTGCCCCTTTTTACACCCAGAATTTGCCAAACACCTCACCTCTTTTTTCAAATGAAAATGTACCTATTGTTTTGTCTGTTTTTGAAAGACAGCTCACGTATAGAAAGTCCAAATAATATAAAAACCGTAAAGAGGAAAAAATCACTTGAAATCCTAGAGGTGGGAATTATAATATATATGGTATTTTGAAACTTGTAATTTTTTTCACCTAATAGTATATTATAGAATATTTCATGTCAATTGTTATCACTTCATAAATTTTACTATTTGAATGTACCAAAATATAATTTAAAGAATAATATGTTAGTGGATATTTAGGCTACCTCATGTATTTTGAATTGATCAATAACACCACTGTGGGAACTCTTAGATGTACATTTTTGAAAAGTTGTCTGATTATATCTTTAGGGTAAATACTTAATAGTGAAAATCTGGATCAAAAAAATATGTATTTTAAAAATTTCAATACCTAGTTCTAAACTACTCTCCAGAAATGATTAGCGGGCCAGTATGTAACACCTCTGAAAGTGAGACAGCTCATTGAATGTTGTCTTTTTAAAATCTTTTCCAGTTACATAGGTTAGAGATGTAGCTCATTGTTTGTTTGTGGTTTTTTTCACATTATTTGATTACTTTGGAGGTTGAATATATTTTATATGTTTTCATTTTTTTCTTCTAAGAATTGTACATTTCTTGTCCATTGACCATTTTCTATTGAGATGTTTGTTTGTTATTATTGATTTCTAAGTTCTCTTGATATATTTAGGATATGAATCTTTCTTCTCAAATAAAAAATAAGAAATTTTTTTAGCTTATAAAATATATTTTATCTTTAATGATAGTTTTTAAAAAGTATTTTGAAGTTTTGAATTTTTTACAGACAAGTCTGTGACTCTCCTTGATGTTACCTGACTTTATTTCATTTTCCAAACTACAAAATTAAAAATATGCTATATTCATTTATGTTTTTAGTATTATTTTAGTTAATTTATATTTTACACTTAAGTATCTCTTCTCTTTATAATCTAATTTGCTTTTGAAGAAAGAACTGTAAAGGTCTAGGTTTTCTTTTCTCTCCAAATTGGTAACCAGTTATCTCTGTAGCACTTGTTGCCTATTTCATATTTTCCTATTGGTTTGAAAAGCTATCCAGTGAAACAATAAATTCCATTTTCATTGACATTTTTAGGAGCTCATTTTGTACAAAAGAAAGTCCATGAATGTGTGTGAAAGTTTAATGATACACTTAGCTATTAAAGTGGTTTTCTGCTCCCATGGAGATAATACCTGCATACATACTTAAATACGTACAAGTAAAGCAAAGTAAAATAAAACAGCCCTTTATTTTTCCATGTCTTTTAGATAAAATCTTTAACAAAGTAGTTCTAGAATGCTTTACATTCCAATTCTGGGTTGGAATCAGTATGTGAGGGAGAATAGTGGAGGTTGAGATTTGAAGAGTAAGATGGCAGGACATTTTTTCATATTGGATCTTGTCAACCATTTTAAGGACTTTGATTCTGGAGAAAATAGGAAGTCATTGGGAAATTTTAGGTTGAAAAGTAACATGATCTGATTTACTCAGAGTATCATTCTGGCAGCTGCAATGACAGCACAATGTGGAGAGGCAAGGATAGAAGCTGAAAGACCACTAAAGAAGAAGTTCCAATAATACAGAAAAGAGCTAGTGGTGGTTTGGACAAGGGTAGTAGCAGTAGAAGTGGTGAACAAAAATTCTGATATGTTTTGAAGGAAGAGACCATAGAATTTACTGATGGATTGATTAGATTTGGACTATCAGAGGAAAAGAGTCCAGGGTGACTCCAAGGTTTTTTGGCCTATACAACAGGAAAGATGAAGGGACTATTTATCAAGATGGGGAAACCTACAGAAGGAGCCTGAAATCAAAAGTATAGTTTCAGACATTTAATTAGAGATACATAATGCACATCCAAGTGAAGATGTATATTAGGCAGATGGATGCACTATATGGAGTTCCAGCACTGGAGTTAAAAAATTGGCAACATTTAGCAAAAAGATGATATTTACAGCCACAAGAGGAGATAAGATCACCATCACAGTGAGTATACATAGGTAAGAAGAGGACTAAGCCCTGGGGCACTCTAGCATTTAAGAGTCAAGAAGAGGGAGGAACAGCAAAGGGCACTAAGTAAGAAGGTGGGAAATAGGAGGGAAAGTCAGGGAAAGAAAATATTTCAAGAAAGGGTATCAGGTATGTTAAATGGTGCTGATGGTGAAATGATCAAGTAAGATAACCATTGAAACTTGACCGCTTAGCAACACGGAAGTCATTATTGAGGTCTGAGGTTGACAAGAACGGGCTGAGTGGACTGGTGGGGGTGAAAGCCTTCGTGGGTTGTGTTCAATACAGAGAATGAAAACAGAGGAAGCAGAGACAGCAAGTTTAGACAATCTTTTGAGAAGTGTTTCTATAATAAATGGGAGGAAAGAAACAAAGCAGTGGCTAAATGGAAGAAATTATAGCATGTTTATATGTTCATAGGAATGGTCTAGTGCAAAGGAAAGATTGAACATGCAGGAGAGAGGAGAACGATTACTGGAGTGATTTCCTTGAGTGGGTGACAGTATTGGGATTTAAAGCACAACTGGGGGAGCTGATCATGTGAGTACAGAAGGTTCATTCTTACAAACCTGGAGGAAAGGCGTAGCTTATGGGCACAGATGCAGGTGGTAGATAGATATGAAGGTAGGATAAGGCGAGATTTCTCTTTTTTATGCTGGTTTTTTTTTTCTTTGAATTTGAAGCACGGTCATCAACTGAGAGTGATGGTAGAAGAGTAGGTTTGGAAATTTAACAAGAAAGACGTATAAAATAGAAGAATGAACACATTATAGAAAAGAGGTAGAATTTCAGGCTGTGCCAAAGACCCACATAAGAATAGTGGGTACGAATTTAAAGTCAGTTAATGTGATTGTGTTTTTTCTCCAGCCATTGTTGACTTCATGGCTACAGCTGTAAAACAGTCATTAAAATGATTTAACTAGAGTTGAGGTTTTTCCTAGTTGAGAATGACAAAGGGCACTGGAGATGTATGCAGGGCAGCAAATGTAATGATGGATGATAGAATATAAACTGTATAAAGAGTGAAGACATTGAAAAGGTGGTAAGTAAACACATGGGGTGTGGGTTGCAGTGGAGTCAAAGAATTATAGTTGGGGTACTGATCTGGCAAGGTACGAGGTGGTGGTGGTCAGAAGTGAATAACTGTTCCAACTCCTTACTCTTACTGTGTGTCTTATTGTAATTAAAGCTTTGACACACTTAATATCTAATAATTTCCAACTTTCTATTAAGCTAAGGGTGTCCATAATTTTTGTCACTAGGATTAGCAATTCCAGTTTTCCATGTGCTGCTTGTTTTTACAAAATGGTGTAGAGACAACATACAATAAAATATTCAATAAACATAGAGACTCCTGCATAGAAACTGACACCATGAGAAAACAAGATTTGACAGTGTGGTAGCAAGAAATGGATCTTTGTCAGCTGATGGCTGGAACAGTTACCAAGGCATGATTTGCTCCCCAAATGTTTAAAAAACTTCAAAGATCTTTGATAACTTTCTTGATTTCTTTCATGGTTATTTCCTGAGACAGTTTTAGTAATGAGAATAAAATTGTGCTTTGATCCAGATTTTATGTTTATTAGTACAATTATGTGAAGCAGCCTTGAAAATCTTATAAAATATTTGATTCTCTAGTTATTTCCTATTGCTATTTTTTCTTGATAAGATAATGTATTGTATTTCAAAGAACAGGCTCTTGAATTAATTTCTTTCTTTCTTTCTTTTTTTTTTTTTTTTTTTTTGGAGACAGAGTTTGCTCTTGTCGCCCAGTCTGGAGTGCAATGGCCTGATCTAGGCTCATTGCAACCACTGCCTCCTGGGTTCAAGCAATTCTCCTGCCTCAGCCTCCCGAGTAGCCGGGACTACAGGTGTGCACCACTGTGCCTGGCTAATTTTGTATTTTTAATAGAGATGGGTTTTCACCATGTTGGCCAGGCTGGTCTCGAATCCTGGACCTCAGGTGATTCGCCTGCCTCAGCCTCCCAAAGATTACAGGCGTGAGCTACTGCACCCTGCCTCTTGGATTAATTTCTGTTATACTGTTTTTCCCCTAATACTTCCTGTGATTATTTTTATTTCCTTCTATTTTATTTTATTTTGACTTTTATTATGAAAATTTTTAGAATACAAAAAGGTAGGAAAAATTAAGTATGGCCGCCAAACATGTATGCCCACCTTACCTATTTAAAGTGGCTTCTTTTTCCTTTTTTAATAAGCATTTTGTGGGGAGATATTTTGACTATGTAAATATCCCATTCACCATCAAACTTTTAAATTTTCATTTATTATATTAGTCTGAACCATGGATTTCTGCATTTTTCTGAAAGTTATAATCTGTAACCACCGTTATTTATTTTACTGGTCAAATTTCCCAGATTTGACCAGTAGGAGCCCCTTCAGGCTGGTTTCTGTGTCCTTTTGATGGGTCCTCATCATTTTTTGAGTACTTTCTTACTGGTATAAGATACTTTCATACTGACCTTATGGCCTACAAAATGTTTAAAATAATGATATTAAATAATTGATTTGGTCTGCTGATGTACCAGAAAGCTAGAATTCCAGTTAATTTATATTAAATTTGGAAGTAAGCATTGGTATATTTCTGTATATAAATATATACATAATATTAAATTGTCATATAGTAAAATTGACCTTTTTTCTTTTTTTTCTTTTTTTTTTTGAAATGGAGTCTGGCTCCATCGCCCAGGCTGGAGTGCAGTGGCGCAGTCTTGGCTCACTGCAAGCTCTGCCTCCCAGGTTCACACCATTCTCCTGCCTCAGCCTCCCGAGTAGCCGGGACCACAGGCACCCACCACCACACGTCGCTAATTTTTTATATTTTTTTAGTAGAGACGGAGTTTCACCGTGTTAGCCAGGATGGTCTCAATCTCCTGACCTCGTGATCCGCCCGCCTTGGCCTCCCAAAGTGAAAATTGAATTTTTTTCTTTTGGTATTCAGTTAGATGAATTTTAACACACATATACATTCCTGTAGTCAGTACCATCATCCAGATTCAGAAAGTTTATTACCCCCAAAAATCTCCCTCTATCTATAATGGTTACCCCTTCCCCACCTATAACCCCTGGCAGCCTCTGACCTATTCTCTTTCACTGTAGTTTTGTGTTTTTGTGAATGACATGTAAGTGGAATCATACAGTGTGTAACATTTTGAAATTGCATTTTTTCACTCAGCATAATAATCTTTGAAATTCATCCAAGCTGTTGAGTGTATCAGTAGTTCACTTTTTTGCTGAATAGTATTCCATTTTATAGCTATAACACTGTTTACTTATTAATCTATTGAAGGGCATTTGAGTGGTGTCCAGTTGTGACAATTATGAATAGAACAGCCATAAACATTTATGCACAAGTGTGTGAAGATTCATTTTCAGTTTTGGAGTGGGATTGCTGCATAATAAGGTCATATATGTATGTTTAACTTTATAAAAAACTGCCAAATTGTTTTCCAGAGTAATTATTTTTCTTTTGCATTCCCACCACTGGTATGTGAGAGTTCGAACTGCCACCTATCTTTGCCAGCATTTGGTATTGCCAATTTTTAAAAATTTTGGCCCCGTGTGGTGGCTCACACCTTTAACACCAACACTTTGGGAGGCCGAGGCCAGTGAATTGCTTGAGCCCAGAAGTTTGAACCTAGCCTGGGCAACATGGAGAAACCCTGTCATTGCAAAAAGTAAAAAAATTAGCTGGGCATGGTGGTGCATCCCTGTTGTCCCAGCTACTTGTACTGAGATGGGAGGATCACTTGAGCCTGAGAGGTCAAAGATGCAGTGGGTCGTGATCAGTCTACTGCACCCTAGCCAGGGTGACAGCAAGACCCTGCCTCAAAAAAAAAAAAATTTTTTTTAACCATTCTGTTAGGCGTGTGGTGATATCTCATCATGGTTTTAATTTTCATTTCCTTAATAGCTACTGATATTAAGCAACTTTATATGTATTTTTGTGTCACCCTCATATACTCTTTGACAAACTGTTTCTTCATATCTTTTGCCCATTTTTTACTGGGTTGTGTGTTTTCTTATTGCACTTTAAGAACTCTTTGTGTAAGTTTTTTTTGCCAGATACATGATTTGTAGATATTTTCTCCCTGACTGTGGCTTGTCGTTTCAATCTCTTAAATATCTTTTCTAGAACAAAAGTTTTTAATTTGAATGAAGATGATTTATCAATCTTTACATTTTCTGTTTACATCAATGATCCATTTAGAGTTAGTTTTTATATAAAGTGTAAGGCCTAGGTAGAGGTTCATTTCTGCCATGTGTAATATGAATTGTTCAAACATCGTTTATTGAAAAGAATATCCTTTTTCTTGAAATGTTTTTAGATTAGAAAGTTTAGTTTCTGTCATTTTTGGTTAAAAATTGAAATTTCAAAGTTTTGATTACATGGTATTAATATGTTTAACAAATTCCAAATATGATTTCATCACTTGAGAACTTATTTGTTCAATTCTAATGTTTGTATATAAGGTAGAATCATATTTTGTGAAGAGTTACTCCCTGTGGCAAAAAAAATGTAAAATAATTTTGAAGATTCCACTTTAATTATTAGTAGACTGTTTATAAAAGAAAATGGGATTATTTTATTCTCTCTTAAAATTCTGCTTAATTTAGCGTCCACTTACAACTTTCTGGTTACTCAAGGTAGTAAATATTGTGTTGTTTTATTTTAAATCCTCCACATTTGAAAAGTTTTCTTAACATTTCAAACGAAATAATTTCTGATTTTTTTCTATTTAGTTTTTCTTAAGTTCATTACAAAAAGAGTAAAGAAATTTAACGAGTCTATACAGCTGTCTTTATAAAAAAGTGAAGATTGTTAATAAAAAATTAAGAAATGTTATATTTCTTCTATAAAACTAGCCTATACTTGGGACTTTTTGTTCTCTTTAAAAACATGATTTACTATGAAGAAAAAGAGTGAGTGACTTCCAACATAATGAAATTATGGGTGAGGGTGGTAGAATTATTTTCTTTGCCACAGTTGATTTCTATTATTTATATGAAATAATCATGTCAGCCTGTAGTACATAATTAAATATATAATATAATTTTAGTTTATATTAACAGATATGTTAAATATGTAAAAAGGATTTAGACTAAAATGGTCTGGAAATCTTTTTTATATATAGTTTAAATGTTTTTACTCCTTAATACTTGGTGAATAAAAATGTGCATAATTTTAAAGAACACAAAGTGCATGGATATGTAGTGTATATGTTGGTTGTATACATATAGCTTTGTAATTTTTAACTGTTCATGGTTTCTTTTTTTACCTCCTTTTTAAATTCCGATTTTTTTAGAGTAGTGACTGTCTTTTTTGTTTTTCTTAACCTTCCACATATTTTGACCCAACCACATATTCCAAGAAGTGTCATTCATAATAATGCAGTGTTGACTTGAATTTTTAAAAATAACTTAGAAAATAATACATTCTGCTGCTTTTATTTCATTTTGTTCAATATTTAGTTTTTATAACTACGTTAGTATGAGTAAGCTTTTTGATTTTCTACATGAGTTAAAGTGGTAATATATTTTGTTTAGAAAGAAGGCTAATAGACTGTTAAAAAAAAGATGTTTGATGTTACTACTTTTGGCTTGGAAGCTTGGGGAATTTCTTTAGTTTGATCATAGTAGAAGAATTTGTTAACTTATCATTTTTAAGATGCTACTTATTTAGATTTAAAAATTGATTGTGAAATTTAACATTCCTTGTAGTCAGTACTAAAATGGTACATCATGGTGTATTTATCATTTATGATCAGAAAGACCAAGATGAACAGAAACAGAAACCAATTATGTCTGATTTATTCTTAGCTCACATGAATTAACTTGCCTTTTTAAAAAAGAAAGTGGAGATGTGTGATAGTAAAGTTATTTTTGTAGAGCCATAATTTTGTGGCCTCAAATTCTTTAAATTTGCAAGAAAATTTTATAAGCCATTAGGTTTTTGTTTTTGGGATTACGAGAATCAGTGTGGGCTTCCTTATTGAGGTGCTGTAAATTCACATTTCTTTATTAAACAGAAAAATATTTATTTATTGCCCTCATTCAGTTTTAGAGCAAGTAAGCTGAAAACTAACTAGTGGTAATTCTGCCCCACTCCCACCCACCTCTACAGCAATATTAACCTCTTCCACTCATTATCTCAGTGGTATAATTTGACATTTTTCCAGGTACTTTATGCTTGGGAAATCTAGTATTATATTTTTGAAATCTCCATAGCATTCCTGAAAACAGAAAAAAACCCATGTTTAGGTTTATGGTGTCATTTTATTAAAGAATATCTGTTTTACTTTTAAAATTCTGTCAAGGATTTTATTTTTTATGTGTATTATATCCCAGATTCTGTTCCCAAAATAAAAATAAAAATGCTTTTTAGATGATAGAGATGTTTGAAATGTAGATCAACAAATACCAATAAATAACTGTTTCACCCTGATACTTGTGTGATTAGATTTAGGAATTTGCTGTTTAGTAGGTTCCTATTGTGGCAGAGAAATCTTTCAGGCATGAATTGATAGTCTAGATCCTTTGAGGTCTGTCTATTCTGACCTATAACCCCTATTCTTACAAGGTCAACATCTGAGGGCAGGAGATTAAGGCAGTTTAAAGACCAGAATGGTAAATGGAATGGAAAAATTAGCCAGCACATTTTGGTTGCAAAACATCAAAGTCATCAAATAGTTTGCTTATTTTAAACCTGGCTTATGGTTATAACAAGCTAATTTTATTGTGTTTGTTGGAATCAGAAAAGTTTAATCACTATGGTTTACTTCAAGGTACTATTTATATAATAATAAATTTTAGCTGCATAATACAAATTAAGTTCACATAGCTTACCCTCAAAATATCAGGAAATGTAAAAATAGTTTGTCACAATATCAATACATTTTAGTCTTGTATGCATTTGTATACTTAATTTAAATTTAAATTGGGAAAATATTTACTTCAGCTTTTACTATGAAATATTTAATTTATCAACACTGTTGCATAAAATATATACATATGGTAATATGAAGTGACTGAGGATTTAGTTGTAATTATACAATGTTGACTTTTGGGAAAAAAATAGTTTTAAAAGATGGAGGTAGAAAGTAAAAGAAGGTAAATTGATTAGGGAGAGACAATTTGTTCATTTTTCTCCTTTGCCTTTTTGAGACTGCTCTTTTAAATTTTGTCTTTCCCCTTTAAAATGTTCCTTATATCTTTTACTTGTATGCTTTTTTTCATTGTAACTCCGAACTATAGATCAGTTGATATCCCTTCTTAGTTTCTATATTTTGGTCCCTGTAAGAAATTCCCCACAACTCTTTATTTTACATTTGTTTGTATCCTGGACAGCTGTGAATTTGCATCTTGTACTTCCTACTAATGACTGGCAGAGGCTCGAGTTGAATAACTAAACTATTGCATCCAAATTTTCAGTCATCCATATGGTGACTAAGGAAATTAGTAAAACCAGTAGAATACCCAAGTCTTCTTAATTCTTCTGTATTTTTAATTCTATCCCAAGTTTCTTTATTATAGCCTAATTTTAGGATGGTTATCCAAGTCCTTTCTTCTTGTGATTATTTGGCCAGGGATCTCTTAATGAGGCAATTATAGTTGTTTCCTTCATTCACATTATCTTAGCAGATGCTCTCCCTGCTGTGACCTCTGTTCAGACTGGGCAGACAATGTGCCATTCTCATCACCCTCTGCCAGACATTGTGTGGAGCTGAGCTTCATTTGGCGCTGCATAGGTCTCCCAAGATGCCATTGGAATGGTCAGAAGCCAAGTGGCAAATAATCAGAATTTTAGGTTGATTTTCTGATTGCTGATTATAATAAATAATAAAATAATGCCTACAGAAAAAAAGTTCCAGAAGCAACTCTAATAATAGTTCAAGTAGAAATTATGGATTTAAGAAGTAACTTAGCTTTCTTGCTTTAGACTGTGGCCTTGGTGAAATTAGATCATATATTTATTGTATGATTTCGGTACAAGGGTATTGTGATAATTTGGTAGTATTTTAGAAATTTGATATCCTTTCTAAAAAGGAAATTAATTTAGCCTCTAATATTAAGTATGTAGATGTTTAAATGAACATTATGACATTGTTCAGAGTATCACTTGTAAATTTTAACGTCACTTAAATTTTAAAAATTATGCTTAAATGTCTTAAACATAAATTATCATGATTTATATCTGCTAACTATGACATCCAATCTGTTCCTGTGTGAACAGAGTAAGAGCTGATCAAGATGAAGACTGATCAACAGAAAATTTTGTTACTTGCACTGCTGAATCCTTCCACTGAATTTGTTACTTGCACTGCTGAATCCTTCCACTGAAATACTAGTTCTGCATCCCAAACCCCAGTAACAATCTAGGGGAATCACAAAGTTTTCAGCAGTCTCCAGCTAGACTTTTTAAATTCTACATAATAAGGATATGCAAGTCAAATTCTGTTCTAATAAATTTGAAGAGCTTATATAAAGATTCTTCCAAATTCACATTGGCATTTTAATTTTTGAAATTTGGTTAAAATAACAGATTAAGAGCTACAACTTTTCTCTCCTCCCCTCACTTCTCCTCCCCTCTCCTCCCCCTCCTCCCCCTCCTCCCCGCTCCCTTCCCCTCTCTTTTTTTTTTGAGACAGGGTCTCACTCTGTCACCCAGGCTGCAGTGCAGTGGTGCAGTCTTGGCTTACTGCAACCTCCACCTCTCAAGTTCAGGTGATCCTTTCACCTCAGCCTCCCAAGCAGCTGGGACTACACATGTGCACCACCACACCCTAATTTTTGTATTTTTTTTTAGAGACTGGGTTTTGCCACGTTGCCCAGGCTGGTCTCAAACTCCTGACCTCAAGTGATCCGCCTGCCTCGGCCTCCCAAAGTGCTGGGATTACAGACGTGAGCTACTGCGCCCGGCCAAGAGTTACAACTTGAACTGTTCTCATAAAGAGATGTTTCTTTTTTTTGGAATAATAGGATTACCTTATTTATATTAAATTTATTTTGTATATATATGGTCCTGGGAAAATTGTCTATCTGTAGAGAAAGAGTAAGATTGGACCCCTACCTTATACCATTTTTAAAGACATAAGGCAAAGCTTTACAACAATATTAGAAGGAAATACAGGATAATATTCCTGTGATCTTAGGTTTGGGAAAGATCTTTTTAAAAGAAGGTACAAACAGTACAAACCATAAGGGATAAGATTAATAAAATTGCTCTAAAATTTAAACTTCTACCAGGCAAAGGTTTCAGTCAGACAGATAAAACCACTCAAAGTATCTATAGAAATTAGGGATTTAGACCTTATACGTTATGTGGGAGTTGCAGGGCAATGGAAGAGTCAGTGTTTTAGAGAAATAGTCATTAACCAGTCTTCAGAAGCACTGGGCTGAGGGGTACAAATCAGAGCTTGCAGGGAATTCCAAAAAGCCAGGCACATGTGACTATGAAAAGGGAACTGGAAGAGGGAGTCTCTGGAGAGGCCTGTGGAAACTGCTGCCTCCGAGTGGACCAGTGGCAGGCTGCTGTTGGTCAGCAGGGCCAACAGTTGGGAAAACAAGCTGAGCACAGAGCACCAGAGAGAGAACAGCTGGGACCTGCTGGGCAGGTCTGTGTCTGTTACCAAGTCTGGCCAGGTCCAAGAATAATGACTTCTTCACTTCCAAATCTTGTACAAGTTTCTCTTTTGGTTGACTCTACCTCAGAACCATCCAGAGAAGGAGATTTCTGTGAAATACAGGTGCTAGCCGTAACCAAACTGACATTTCAATCTAGCATCATTAATATAAACAAAGTTAGAGTGGGAAAAGATATTTCCAGTGCATGTAATTGATAAATAATTAATATCCAAAAAGCACTACAAATCAAAAAGAAAAAACAAAGCCTGACAGAAATGAACAAATAGTAATTCATAAAGAAAAATATTCACTGAAAAACTGTGTGGCATTACTAACCTAAATGAGACATCATTTCACTCATGTTGAACTAGCAGAAATTTCAAAGTCTGACAGTACCAAGCATTGTGAAGAACGTTCCACAATACTGATGGGATTCTTGACACTACCACTTCATAGAGCAATTTGGCAATATCTGGTGGAAGATTGTTCATATCTTTTTACTCCACTTCTGGGTAGATTTTTCATGGCAGTGTTTTTCAAACTGTGGGTTGGGGCCCACTGGTGGCTTTGAGATCTATTTGATGGGTTATGACCAGTATTATTAATTTTAAAAAATGAGATAGAATAAAAATCATCAGAGCACTTTGCATGTAGTAAGAGTAACTTGTTTCATAAACTTTTGAGTTGTGGTGTGTGTATTTGTGCGAGTACTGAATCAAGATTGAAAATGTTTTCTCAATGTGGGGCATGGTCATTTTCACACAAAGAGAATTATGCAAAAATGTTACTTAGAGCATTGTTTGTAGTAACAAAAAACTAGAAACCTAAATGTCTGTAAATGAGAATTTTTAAATTATAGTATATTCTTAGGATGATATGGCAGTTAAAGTGAACATATTAGAGCTACATCTCAAGGATAACTCCTTTTTTAAAAACCCTACTGTATTGTTGAATAAAAATGTAAGTTGCACAGAGTGTATGAAATTTACTCCATCTATATTAATTTTTTAAAACCATCAAATGATATTATGTATTATGTATGGATACTTACATGTGTGGCAAAAATGTGAAAACATGATAAACCCTAAATTCATGAGAGTACTTACTCTTAAGAGGCAGAGAAGAGAATGGGATTGTGGGAGTATGCAGATTATATTTAACCATTTGTTCAAGTTATTTTGAAACCTTCAGTAGGGTATTCATATATAATAGATTCCACACCTTATGCTATTTATTTTTAGGTATTGTAGTTTTTGATGCTATTTTGAATGAATTTTTTTTCTTCAGTTTTAACTGGTTCTTGCCTACTGTAGAGAAAAGCTGTGTAAAGATTTAGGGGAAAGTTTTGTCTCTTTTCCAAGAGTTGTACCTATTCTTTTCTTAGGAATACACTCAAACTTCCTAAGCAGTGTTGAATGATGCTGATGACAGCAAGCATTTTGTCTTCCAATTTAATGAAAATAGCTTTAATATTTCAAGTTTAGTCTGATGTTTGCTATTGTTTTTCAGTAAATAATCATGTTTAAATTGCTTTCTTTTTCTCCTCGTTTACTCAGAGTTTTTACTGTGGATGGCTGCTAAATTATTATATCAAAAATGTTTTCAGCATCTCTCGACATAATTAATTTTCTACTCTAGTATATTGATAAAGTGAGTTACATCTATAGATTTTATGAAGTTAAAGCATTCTTACATTCCTGTGTGGAAGTGGGACCCTTTTTAGTCATTATTTGCTTATTCAGTTTCATCATATTTATCAGTCATACATAACTAGGACTTTTTGTGTACTTTCCTCTTTAAGTTTTATTAAATTTATTAAGATTATTCTAGTCTCATGAATTAGTGAGTTTTCTGTCTCTGTATTGCTGTATAGTTTAACATAATACGAATTTAAGTAGTAGTCTCCTCTCAAGTGATAAATAATAGATTTCTTCTTTCATGGGAAAAACATCACAACTTGTGTTTATATTTATTTACTATATACCTTTTATTTTTATGTTTTATAATGTATACTAGTATATACCTGATATTATAAATACACACAAATACACATTATATGTATATTTGTATTTACATATAATGGGGTAGGTGTTCAAAAAAAATTCTTACTAATAAGTGTGCATGATCAAAATAATTTAGAGCCCACAACTTTAAAAGGTAATAGAACTAAGCTATAAACACCAAAGCCCTTCGCATTTTGTAGTTAAAAAAATTGTCCAGAGCTTTCTCATATCTATTAGAGTTTTCTGTTTCCTTTTCAATCGGATTTGGTATATTTTACTAAGAAATTATTTACTTCCATTAGATTTTCTAATTTGTGCCAAAAATTGAAAGAAGATTTTCTTATATCTTTAAATTTCCTCCTTATATGCAATTGGATTTTTTATTTATTTCTTTTATTTTTTTATTTTTTGAGACAAGTTCTCTCACTCTGGTTGCCCAGGCTGGAGCACAGTGGTAGAATCTTGGCTCACTGCAGCCTCGACCTCCTGGGCTCAGGTGATTCTCCCACCTCAGCCTCCTGAGCAGCTTGGATTACAGGCACACACCAACACAACCAATAATTTTTTTTTTTTTTAGTAGAGACAGGGTTTCACCATGTTGCCCAGGCTGTTCTTGAACTCCTGGGCTCAAGCAATCCTCCCGCCTCAGCCTCCCAGAGTGCTGGGATTACAGGTGTGAGCCACCACACCTAGCCTGCAATTGGATTTTAGTAATTCCTAACATTTTAGGTTTTCATTTTCTTTTTTTCTCATTTAGGCATCTCGCGAATTTACCTTTTCAAATAATTACCTTTTATCTACAATTTTGCCTGTTTTTTGTTTCTTTCAGATCTCACTTGTATAATGTCTTCTTTGTTAATTTTGTTATATTTTTCTTTCTATTTTCATAAGTTGGATGCTTAATTTATCTTCAGTCTTTATTTTTATAGGTACTATGGATTTCAGACCATAAATATTCTTTTAGGAAAAACTTAATTGTTTTGCACAGGTTTCAGTATGAAGTTCTAGGTTTTTTTTGTTATTTTCTAGATAATTTGATACTTAGTCTTGATTTTCACTGTGCTGGCTACTCTGAAATCCAGTGCTGTTAAAGGGTTGTTGTTTATCATCTGACTGGAGGTATAGTGGTCATAAGTGTTTCTGGTGCAAGTTACACAAATGAACTCATCATGGCTGAAAGTAGTTGTTCTCAATGTCATTTTTGGACCAGCATCAGCATCACATGGGATCTTGCTTAAAATGCACACTCTAAGGCCTGACCCTAGACTTAACCTGGGGTGTTGAGCTCAGCCATTGTGTTTTTTTTCTTCTTTCTTCCAACAAACCTCTGGGTAATTTTGATATATTGTAAGTTTGAGATCCCTTGGCCTGGCATGGGAGGGTGATGTGGGAAGAAATCTGTTGAATCACGTAGTTTATAATTCCAGGAATTAAAATAGTTCAGATACATCTGGATTTGAGTGCTCAATCCTAGTGCCAAGAGGGATAGAATTCCCAGCAATTCTCACAAAAGTTCAGAATTAATTTTGTTGATCTAGCCTAGAATGTGATAATCTGATTCGCTAGACATGAATCATTTGCCCACTCTGTGCTGGGGAGTCAGGTGAACTCCCACCCCCATCTAAACCACAAGAATTAAAAGTAGGGGAAAGAGGATTCTCCAGAAGAAAAAGTGCCATTATGAGTAGAGACACTGAATTGGGGGAAGGGGGTAGGCAAAAATAACTGATACACATAAAATAGCACTGGATTACAGAGTAGCCAGTCTGTAAACTGTTACTGTTTTTCAAGAAGACAATGAGCTTGTACTATAATCTAAGTTGATATACCACTTCCTTCATTGGAAGGCCTTGCTACAAAAACAGTGTGACCTGTACTAAATATTCCTTTCTTCGTGTGTTTAGAAATTTCCTCTGTTATTTGTTTATATGTTTCTTTACTTTTTTCCTTCTCTCCTGGAAATCTGGTTACATAGCTATTAGTGCTCCTAAAGTTTCATGTCTTTTCTCAGCATTTTCATCTGTCGTCTTGCTTTCTTTTGTAAGATCATTATTTTGAACATTAATTGAGGTCTTCTAGAACATCGACTGACTTCTCAGATGTGACTGTCTTCTTTCACTGTTTTTTTTTTCTATTTAGTTTCAAAATTTGAGATCATGTTTTTAGTTCCAGAGAGCTTTCTTTTCTGTCCTAAACTGGTTTATGTTAAAAATTATCTTCAGATGTCAGTGGGAGCCAGGTTTTCTAAAAGTGCAGCTCTCTCTCTCAGGTTACTTTGTCCCTATGAAATACTGGAGTTTTTCTCCCCTCTCATTGTGGTTTTTCTTCCTTTAACATGAGTACAGAGGTGGCTTTTAGCCTCTCTTAAACAGAGACAAACCTCTGATTTATGGAAGTGATTTGTGATTTCTGCTCTTGTGAGCTGACAGTAAGCAAACTATCAAAGCCCAACCCCTCTGCTATGGGAGATGGGGGTTGAAGGATGGAAGACCAAGGAAAGAACCTCTGAACTGTCCTTTGCTCACTGGAAGAATATATTCCATTTGCCAAAGGAACAAAAAAGTGAAAATACCTAGGAATAAAGCTTAATGAGAGATATACAGAGTCTAAATGAAGAAAACTGAAACTGGCCAGACGTTATGGCTCATGCCTATAATCCCAGCACTTTGGGAGGCTGAGGCAGGTGGATCACTTGAGATCAGGAGTTCGAGACCAGCCTGGCCAGCATGGTGAAACCCCATCTAAAAATACTAAAATTAGCCGGGCATAGTGGCGCACGCCTGTAGTCCCAGCTGCTCAAGAGCAACAGAGTGAGACTCTGTCTCAAAAAAAAAAAAAAAAAAAAAAAAAAAAAAAGAAAACTAAAACTATACAAAGTTAGTATAAAAGAAAACACATGAGTAAAACTAAGCTCAGTATGAAGCCTACCCTGGGATATGTTTGTTTGTGTATGTGTGTGTATCCTATTCAAAATGAAATCTTTTCCTCCTTTTATTTTTATAAACTTAATAAGATTGATAATTTTTAACCAGTTACTTAAAAAACTTCTTTTGTTGATTTTTTTGTTTATGGTTTTTTTTTTTTTAGAGACAGGGTCTCACTCTCACCCAAGCTGGAGTGCAGTGGCAGGATCTCAGCTTACTGCAGCCTCTCTTCCTGGATTCAAGCAATTCTCCTGCCTGAGCCACTTATGTAGCTAGGATTACAGGTGTGCACCACCATGCCCTGCTAATTTTGTATTTTTAGTAGAGATGGGGTTTCACTAGCCTAGGCTAGTCGGGTTTCACAAGCCTAGGCTAGTCTCAAACTCCTGGGCTCAAGCGATCTGCCTCCTCAGCCTCCCAAAGTGCTGGGATTACAGGCGTGAGCCACTGGACCTGGCTCTTTGTTGATTTTTAATAGTTTTTCAATATATTCATGGTTTTCAAGGTATGAAATATTTTTACCCACAAATAATAATAACTATATCCTCTATGATAATTTGTGGTATATCCATTTTATTGTTCTTCCATTTTGTTTCTGCCTTTGTGTTTTACCTATTCAGTGATCAAATAATTATCTATATTTTTCCTGGTTTCCTTCTATTAACTTTTAAATCCATCAAAAGTTTTATTTGTTACATTATATAAAGATTAAGAAGCTCTGTTCTGAATTTCCCCTTACTCAGCATCTCTTGCTGAACTCTGTTGATTTGTGAAAGTTCTTCTGTTATTTAATGATTTCTTCCATACGTTACTTCTAATATGTATGTTTCAGGGCTCTATGCTTTTACAGCTTGTCCTACTCTTTCTTCCGCTAGTTGTTTTAATTTCTATATTTTTGTAATACCTTTTAATTCCTCAAAGGTAAATCTCCCTTTATTACTGTTCTGAGATATTATTATAGCTATTTTCATTTATTTTTAAAGATGAACTTAAAAATCACTTTCTTCCCATCATTATCAACTCTCATTGGTATTTTTATAGGAATTCAAATTATTTTATTCACAAAATATTTGTGGTACAGGAATCTCAGTTTTACAGTTTGTAAATCCAAAGTATAGTACTGTGAATAGAAATTTCAATTCCCACAATGAAGATATAAATCTAATTATAGCCGATAAACTACTTCATATGGCTTGATCTAATTTTTTTCATGCTCTAAAAATTGAGTTAATACAGTCATTGGAAATTACTGTTTTAGTTTAAAAAATATTTTCATTTCAATAGTTTTAGGGGTACAAGTGGCTTTTGGTTACATGGATGAATTGTAAAGTAGTGAAGCCTGGCTTTTAGTGTACCTCTTGCCCGACTAGTGCACGTTCTACCCAATGGAAATGATCTTAATGGTAACATTTTAAAGTTGTATTTCTAGTCATTGGAATTTTTGGATCAAGTACAATGGCTTGCACATGTAATCTCAGCTACTTGGCAAGCTGAGATGGGAGGATCACTTCAGCCCAGGAGTTCGAGACCAGCTCAGGCAATATAGTGTGACCCTATCTCTTAAAAAAAATTTCATATGACATTTATAGCTACAAGTATATGTGCTGTGAATAGTTTAACGTTAAACTGTTAGGAGCAGTAATAGAAGAAGCAGGTAACTAATCACATCATAGATTGAGAAAAGTTTCAGAAATACCTGAAGGCACTATTTTTTATTCTATGTATATCTTATATAGGTAAGCCTGTTTAAATCCTGAGTATTCCTAAATCCACTCACTTATATTTAATAATAATAACTATTATTATTTAATATGGAATACTTCATAAATTTGTATGTCATTCTGTTTTTTTTTTTTTTTTTTTGAGATGGAGTCTCACTCTTGTCACCCAGACTGGAGTGCAGGGTCACTATATTGGCTCACTGCAACCTCTGCCTCCCGGGTTCAAGCAATTCTCCTGCCTCAGCCTCCCAAGTAGCTGGGATAAAGACATGCGCCACCATGCCCAGCTAATTTTTGTATTTTTAGTAAAGACGGGGTTTCACCATGTTGACCAAGCTGGTGTCGAACTCCTGACCTCAAGTGATCCACCCGCCTCAGTCTCCCAAACTGCTGGGATAATAGGTGTAAGCCACCATACTTGGCCCTGTATGTCATTCTTGTATAGGGGCCATACTAATCTTCTCTGTATTGTTCCAATTTTAGTATATGTGCTGGCAAAGCAAGCACCCACTCACTTCATATTAAAAGAGTTAATCATATCTGTACACACTTAGACAATGCTAAACCAATTACTCATTATTTGCCTTAGGAAGGAAGTCTGGTTGTGCTGTAGTGCATGGTTAGGCTGCTTTTCAAAGTCCAGTTGGTAGGATGCTGAGCAAAACCTTGCCAGAACTCAGAACTGTGAACTTTACCATGACTCTCCAAGTGATCAGTATGTAATGTGCTATCTAATAACACCTTTTTGAAAATCTAAAACCCATCTTCTTTCATCTCTGTATGGTTTTCTATTTTTTCATATGATATTTTTATAGTTAGTAATTGTAACTAATACTAAATGATTTTACAATTTTTTAATTTTTTTATTATTATACTTTAAGTTCCAGGGTACATGTGCACAACGTGCAGGTTTGTTACATATGTATACATGCGCCATGTTGGTGTGCTGCATCCATTAACTCAACATTTACATTAGGTATATCTCCTAATGCTATCCGTCCCCCCTCCCTCCACCCCATGACAGGCCCCAGTGTGTGATGTTCCCCTTCTTGTGTCCAAGTGTTCTCATTGTTCAATTCCCACCTATGAGTGAGAACATGCAGTGTTTGGTTTTTTGTCCTTGCGATAGTTTGCTGAGAATGATGGTTTCCAGCTTCATCCATGTCCCTACAAAGGACATGAACTCATCCTTTTTTATAGCTGCATAGTATTCCATGGTGTATATGTGCCACATTTTCTTAATCCAGTCTATCATTGATGGACATTCGGGTTGGTTCCAAGTCTTTGCTATTGTGAATAGTGCCACAGTAAACATACATATGCATGTGTCTTTATAGCAGCATGATTTATAATCCTTTGGGTATACACCCAGTAATGGGATGGCTAGGTCAAATGGTATTTCTAGTTCTAGATCCCTGAGGAATCGCCACACTGACTTCCACAATGGTTGAACTAGTTTACAGTCCCACCAACAGTGTAAAAGTGTTCCTATTTCTCCACATCCTCTCCAGCACCTGTTGTTTCCTGACTTTTTAATGATCACCATTCTAACTGGTGTGAGATGGTATCTCATTGTGGTTTTGATTTGCATTTCTCTGATGGCCAGTGATGATGAGCGTTTTTTCATGTGTCTTTTGGCTGCATAAATGTCTTCTTTTGAGAAGTGTCTGTTGATCTCCTTCGCCCACTTGTTGGTGGGGTTGTTTGTTTTTTTCTTGTAAATTTGTTTGAGTTCTTTGTAGATTCTGGATATTAGCCCTTTGTCAGATGAGTAGATTGCAAAAATTTTCTCCCATTCCGTAGGTTGCCTGTTCACTCTGATGGTAGTTTCTTTTGCTGTGCAGAAGCTCTTTAGTTTAATTAGATCCCATTTGTCAATGTTGGCTTTCGTTGCCATTGCATTTGGTGTTTTAGACATGAAGTTCTTGCCCATGCCTATGTCCTGAATGGTATTGCCTAGGTTTTCTTCTAGGGTTTTTATGGTTTTAGGTCTAACATTTAAGTCTTTAATTCATATTGAATTAATTTTTGTATAAGGTGTAAGGAAGGGATCCAGTTTCAGCTTTCTGCATATGGCTAGCCAGTTTTCCCAGCACCATTTATTAAATAGGGAATCCTTTCCCCATTTCTTGTTTTTGTCAGGTTTGTCAAAGATCAGATGGTTGTAGATGTGTGGTATTATTTCTGAGTGCTCTGTTCTGTTCCATTGGTCTGTATCCCTGTTTTGGTACCAGTAGCATGCTGTTTTGATTACTATAGCCTTGTAGTATAGTTTGAAGTCAGGCAGCATGATGCCTCCAGCTTTGTTCTTTTGGCTTAGGGTTATCTTGGCAATGAGGGCCCTTTTTTGGTTCCATATGAACTTTAAAGTAGTTTTTTCCAATTCTGTGAAGAAAGTCATTCGTAGCTTGATGGGGATGGCATTGAATCTATAAATTACCTTGGGCAGTATGGCCATTTTCACGATATTGATTCTTCCTATCCATGAGCATGGAATGTTCTTCCGTTTGTTTGTGTCCTCTTTTATTTCACTGAGCAGTGGTTTGTAGTTCTCCTTGAAGAGGTCCTTCACATCCCTTGTAAGTTGGATTCCTAGGTATTTTATTCTCTTTGAAGCAATTGTGAATGGGAGTTCACTCATGATTTGGCTCTCTGTTTGTCTGTTATTGGTGTATAAGAATGCTTGTGATTTTTGCCCATTGATTTTGTATCCTGAGACTTTGCCAAATTTGCTTATCGGCTTAAGGAGATTTTGGGCTGAGACGATGTGGTTTTCTAAATATACAATCATGTCATCTGCAAACAGGGACAATTTGACTTCCTCTTTTCCTAATTGAATACCCTTTATTTCTTTCTCCTGCCTGATTGCCTTGGCCAGAACTTCCAACACTGTGTTGAATAAGAGTGGTGAGAGAGGGCATCCCTGTCTTGTGCCAGTTTTCAAAGGGAATGCTTCCAGTTTTTGCCCATGCAGTATGATATTGGCTGTGGGTTTGTCATAAATAGCTCTTATTATTTTGAGATACGTCCCATCAATACCTAATTTATTGATAGTTTTTAGCATGAAGGGCTGTTGAATTTCGTCAAAGGCCTTTTCTGCATCTATTGAGATAATCATGTGGTTTTTGTCTTTGGTTCTGTTTATATGCTGGATTACGTTTATTGATTTGCATATGTTGAACCAGCCTTGCATCCCAGGGATGAAGCCCATTTGATCATGGTGGATAAGGTTTTTGATGTGCTGTTGGATTCGGTTTGCCAGTATTTTATTGAGGATTTTTGCATCGATGTTCATCAGGCATATTGGTCTAAAATTCTCTTTTTGTTGTGTCTCTGTCAGGCTTTGGTATCAGGATGATGCCGGCCTCATAAAATGAGTTAGGGAGGATTCCCTCTTTTTCTATTGATTGGAATAGTTTCAGAAGGAATGGTACCAGCTCCTCCTGTACCTCTGGTAGAATTCAGCTGTGAATCCATCTGCTCCTGGACTTTTTTTGGTTGGTGGGCTATTAATTATTGCCTCAATCTCAGATCCTGTTATCGGTCTATTCAGGGATTCAACTTCTTGCTGGTTTAGTCTTGGGAAGGTGTATGTGTCAAGGAATTTATCCATTTCTTCTAGATTTTCTAGTTTATTTGCAAAGAGGTGTTTATAGTCTTCTCTGATGGTAGTTTGTATTTCTGTGGGATTGGTGGTGATATCCCCTGTATCATTTTTTATTGCGTCTATTTGATTCTTCTCTCTTTTCTTCTTTATTAGTCTTGCTTGCAGTCTATCAGTTTTGTTGGTCTTTTCAAAAAACAAGCTCCTGGATTCATTGATGTTTTGAAGGGTTTTTTGTGTCTCTATTTCCTTCAGTTCTGCTCTGATCTTAGTTATTTCTTGCCTTCTGCTAGCTTTTGAATCTGTTTGCTCTTGCTTCTCTAGTTCTTTTGTGATGTTAGAGTGTCAATTTTAGATCTTTCCTGCTTTCTCTTGTGCTATAAATTTCCCTCTACACACTGCTTTAAATATGTCCCAGAGATTTTGGTTTGTCGTGTCTTTGTTCTCATTGGTTTCAAAGAGCATCTTTATTTCTGCCTTCATTTCATTATGTACCCAGTAGTCGTTCAGGAGCAGGTTATTCAGTTTCCATGTAGTTGAGCGGTTTTGAATGAGTTTGTTAATCCTGAGTTCTAGTTTGATTGCACTGTGGCCTGAGAGACAGTTTGTTATAATTTCTGTTCTTTTACATTTGCTGAGGAGTGCTTTACTTCCAAGTGTGTGGTCAATTTTGGAATAAGTGTGATGTGGTGCTGAGAAGAATGGATATTCTGTTGATTTGGGGTGGAGAGTTCTGTAGATGTCTATTAGGTCCGCTTGGTCCAGAGCTGAGTTCAATTCCTGGATATCCTTGTTAACTTTCTGTCTCGTTGATCTGTCTAATGTGGACAGTGGGGTGTTAAAGTCTCCCATTATTATTGTGTGGGAGTCTAAGTCTCTTTGTAGTTCTCTAAGGACTTGCTTTATGAATCTGGGTGCTCCTGTATTGGGTGCATATATATTTAGGATAGTTAGCTCTTCTTGTTGAATTGATCCCTTTACCATTATGTAATGGCCTTCTTTGTCTCTTATGATCTTTGTTGGTTTAAAGTCTGTTTTATCAGAGACAGGATTGCAACCCCTGCCTTTTTGTGTTTTCCATTTGGTTGGTAGATATTCCTCCTTCCCTTTATTTTGAGCCTATGTGTGTCTCTGCACGTGAGATGGGTTTCCTGAATACAGCACACTGATGGGTCTTGACTTTTTATCCAATTTGCCAGTCTGTGTCTTTTAATTGGAGCATTTAGCCCATTTACATTTAAGGTTAATATTGTTATGTGTGGTTTTGATCCTGTCATTATGATGTTAGCTGGTTATTTTGCTCGTTAGTTGATGCAGTTTCTTCCTAGCATGAATGGTCTTTACAATTTGGCATGTTTTTGCAGTGGCTGGTACTGGTTGTTCCTTTCCATGTTTAGTGCTTCCTTCAGGAGCTCTTTCAGGGCAGGCCTGGTGGTGACAAAATCTCTCAGCATTTGCTTCTCTGTAAAGTATTTTATTTCTCCTTCACTTATGAAGCTTAGTTTGGCTGGATATGAAATTCTGGGTTGAAAATTCTTTTCTTTAAGAATGTTGAGGCTGGGCGCGGTGGCTCACGCCTGTAATCCCAGCACTTTGGGAGGCCGAGGCGGGTGGATCATGAGGTCAGGAAATCGAGACCATCCTGGCTAACAAGGTGAAACCCCGTCTCTACTAAAAATACAAAAAATTAGCCGGGCGCGGTGGCGGGTGCCTGTAGTCCCAGCTACTCGGGAGGCTGAGGCAGGAGAATGGCGTGAACCCGGGAAGCGGAGCTTGCAGTGAGCTGAGATTGCGCCACTGCAGTCCGCAGTCCAGCCTGGGCGACAGAGCGAGACTCCGTCTCAAAAAAAAAAAAAAAAAAAAAAAAAAGAATGTTGAACATTGGCCCCCACTCTCTTCTGGCTTGTAGAGTTTCTGCCGAGAGATCTGCTGTTAGTCTGATGGGCTTCCCTTTGTTATTTTACAATGTTTTACATCACTGTATATTTTTGTATTATCAGGACAATGGCCTCATAAATTTTCTTAAAATTTTTTTTTCTTTTAGACAGAGATCACCAAAATCTCTGAGAAATGTTGATTTTGGTACTTGGTTTTATTAGGAAGTTCAAGACAAGATATAAAATATGTAAGACTGTGTTTTACAAATGATGCTTTAAAACATATATAGGGCTAGGAGTGGTGGCTCATGGCTGTAATCCCAGCACTTTGGGAAGCTAAGGTGGGAGGATCGCTTGAGACCAGGAGTTTGAGACCAGCCTAGACAACCAAGCAAGACCTTAGATTAAAAAACAAAAGAAAGAAAAGAAATGGTATATAGGATTCATGTAGACTAATAAGTAAATATATCTAAAAGAAAAAAATGTAGTTAATAATGAGTAAAAGAAAAAGCTGCGGGCTGGGCACAGTGGCTCATGCCTGTAATCCCAGCACTTTGGGAGGCCGAGTCGGGTGGATCATGAGGTCAGGAGATTGAGACCAGCCTGGCCAACATGGTGAAACCCTATCTCTACTAAAAATACAAAAATTAGCCAGGCGTGGTGGCGTGCACCTGTAATCCCAGCTACTCAGGAGGGTAAGGCAGGAGAGTCACTTGAACCTGGGAGGTGGAGGTTGCAGTGAGCTGAGATCGTGCCATTGCACTCCAGCCTGGGCGACAGAGCGAGACTCCGTCTGAAAAAAAAAAAGAAAGAAAAAGAAAGAGCCACGACAACTGTTTGTAATTGAATTGCTGAGGAATGTTGTATACTACATTCTTTCCTTCTCCAGGGATTTTTTTTTTTTAAGTTTCAAATAAATCTGCAATAGAAAGACGTATACTCTGAGTTCTTTTAAGTGTAATCTCCATGAGAACAAGGATCTGGTCTGCCTTATTTACTATTGTGTCATGGGTACAAAGTAACTACTTAGTAAATATTTATTGAAGTAGTTGTAATCCTGTGCAGTTATCTTTCCCTCTATCTCAGTTTCTCTCTGTAAATTCTTTCATTTTACCAATTTTTGTTGAGTACCTGCCATGGACCAGGTACTGTTCTAGGCACTGAACATGGAGCAGAGAATGGAACATACCAGGGTCTTGACGTCCTGGAGCACAGATTTTAGAATGTGAGGCAAATAAGCAAAAACAGACTTATTAATAAATGTATATAATGTGACGTCAGGTAGTGATAAATGCTGTGAAGAAAATTATAGCAGTGTAAGGGGACAGAGTAATAGTTGGACTGTTTTAGATTAAGTAATCAGGAAATGCCTGAAGAGATGACATCTGAGCAGAGACATGAATGACGTAAGGGAACAAGCCTTGTAAAGATCTGGGGGAAGTGATTTTTATTCAAAAGGAAAACCTGTGCAAAGATTCCGAGGCATTAATGAATTGAGCATGTTTGAGGAGTGGCAGGCCAGCCAGTATGACTGAGTGAATTGATTGATGAGAAGAGAGGTCCAAGATTAGGGCTGAGAAATTGGCAGGGTCATGTAGACCATGGTTTATGAAGTTTGATTTTATTCTTGGTGAGATGGTGTCTTAGTCTACTTTGTGCTACTATGAAAGAATACCACCGATTAGGTAATTTATGATGAAAAAAATTTTTATTGGCCCACAGTTTTGTAGGCTGGGAAGTCCAAGATCAAGGGGCAGGCATCTGGCAAGTGCCCTCTTGATGTGTCATGGTGGGAGAGCAAAGGGAGGAAAGGATACCAAACTTGTCCTTTTACAAGGAACCCATTCCTGTAATAATGAGCCCATTTCCAGGATAATAACATTAATCCATTCATAAGGACAGTGCCCCCATGACCCAAATACTTCCTATTAGGCCCTGCTTTCCAGTACTGCTTCATTGAAGATCAATTTTCTTATGTTTTGTTTCTTTAAGGAATGAGTCCTTTTTATGTAAGCTGTGGAATGCTTTGGCATAAAATTGTTTATTATATTCCTTTATGTCCTCTTAATGACTACAAGATACATACCAATATTCCCTTTTTTCATTGCTGATAATGGCTGTTGATTTCTTCTCTCTTGTTTCTTGATCATTCTAACTAGGAGTTTATTCATTTTTTAAAAATCCTTTCTAGCCAATTTTTGGCTTTGTTAATTTTTTTATATTGTTTTCTATTTCATTGGTTTCTGCTCTTGATTACTTAATTTACTTTATTTACTTTTGGTTTATTTTTCTCTTTTTGTGGCTTCTTTAGGTAAAAACTTAGACCATTGATTTTTAAACCTTCTTTTCTAACATAAACAGATAAAGTTTTAAATTTTCCTCTAAACACTGCTTTAGCTGCATTTCACAAATCTTAATTTATTTTTTCATTTTTATTTTCCTTGTGATTTCTTCTTTGATCTAAGTGTTATTTAAAAATATATTGTATTATTAATATTTTGGAATTTCTATATGTCTTATTTATTTCTAACTTAATTCTCTTGTGGTCAGAAAACATATTCTGTAAGATTTCCACTTTGTGAAATTTATTGACTTTTTTTGTCCCAAGATAGGTTCTATCCTAGACAGTGGCTCATGTGCACCTGAAAAGAATGAATATTCAGAAGATGTTGAGTGCATGGTTCTATAGTGTTAATTAGATAATGGTGGTCGATAGTGTAGCCCAAATCTATGTCTTATGGTGTGTGTGTGTGTGTGTGTGTGTGTGTGTGCACGTGCTCATAAACTTACTTGTTACTGGAAAGGAATGTTAAATTTCAACTGATTGTGGATTTCTCTATTTCTTCTTTGAGTGCTAACATTGTTTGCTTCATGTGCTTTGAAACCACATTAACAGCAGATTCGTTGCTTTCATATTGGGCATATTATGTCTTCCTGATGAATTGACCCTTTATGTTTATGAAATGTCCCACCTCCCTTGTAATATCTATTACTTTGAAGTATCCTTTGTCTGACAGTGATATAGCCACACCAACTTTTTTATGGTTGTTTGTATGGTGTGTGTGTGGGTGCGTGTGTGTGTGTGTGTGTGTGTGTGTGTGTATTTTGAGATGGTGTTTCACTCTTGTAGCCCAGGCTGGAGTGCAATGGCACAATCTCAGCTCACTGCAACCTCAGCCTCCCGGGTTCAAGTAATTCTCCTGCCTCAGCCTGCCATATTCAGGATTACAGGCTGGGTTTATGGGCACCTGCCACCACGCCCAGCTAATTTCTGTATTTTTAGTAGAGACAGGGTTTCACCGTGTTGGCCACACTGGTCTCAAACACCTGATCTCAGGTGATCCACCTGCCTCGGCCTCCCAAAGTACTGGGATTACAGGCGTGAGACACTGCACCCAGCCTACTGTTTGTTTGTTTCCTTTTAATTTCAACATATCTGTGACTTATATTTAAAATATGTCTCCTGCAGTCAAGATGTAATTAGTGTGTGTTTTTTAAAATCAAACCTGATGATCTCTGCCTTTTAATTGGGATTTGAGACCATTTGTACTTAATGTAATTATTGATATGGTTAGATGCAGGTCTGCCATTTTGCTCTCAGTTTTCTGTTTTTCTCATTTGGTTTTGTTTGTATTTGTTTTCTGCCATCTTTTTGGTTAATACTGTTTCATTTGCTATAAAATGTAACAATGCTACCAAAATTTAATTCCATTCACCACCACCCTGGTGTCATTCTCTGTGCTATTATGTCATACATTTTTTATTTTGACATAATTTATAAGTCCCACAATTCAGTGTTATTACTTTTGCTTTAAATAGTGTTTCCTGTACACATCTCTCATTTCTAGTTTTATTTATTACTTTCTGTAGATCTATCTTTATCCCCATTTCACCTTGCTCTTATGGACAAAATGTCTTGGAGACATTAGGGGATAATGAAAATAAAGGTGAAATTATAGTTACCGGAATGGGACTGACTAATTCTGTGGAGGGAGTGGGAGAGTGACAACCTGAAACCTGGAAAGCAATCAACTTAGTCCTAGGAGCTCTGAGGAATGGAGGGACATTCATCACCTTTTGTCCTGTCCCCATGCCCCAGGGGACTTCTTGCCACTTTGGGGTGCCCCCCATGGGGGAACCACACACCCGGGGTGCAAGCCAGTGAGTTTCCATGTGGTTACATTTTTCTTGAACCTGAACAACTTTTTTTTTTTTTTTTTTAGCATTGCTTCTTGCTGCTGGCCAAAAATTCACTCAGATATCTTTATTTTGACCTAATTTTTAAAAGGTATTTTTAATAGATTTAGAATTCTCAATTGAAAGGGTTTTTTTTAAACTACTTGTCAACTGGTCTTCATTATTTCTGAGAGGATGTTATATATAATTCATTTATTTGTTCCATAGTGTAAAATGTATCTTTTTTCTTATTCCTTTATTTGGGCTTTAAGTAGCTGAATTATGATGCACCAAAGTGTGGGATTTTGGGGGATTTATTTGTATTTATTGTGTTTCGGTTTCTCTGAGCTTTTTGGATTTGTTGATCCACAATGTTTTTCATAAAACTGGGGAAATTTTTGGCCATCATTTCTTCGTGTGTTTTTTATTCTGCTTCGTTCTCTCTTCTTCATCTGAGATTCTAATTACATATATGTATATATCAGACCATTTCATATTGTCCCTCGTGTCACTATGAATAACAGTATCTTAAACATATTTAGAACTGTAAAATTGAACTCAGGGTTTCTAAAGCAGTTGGAATTCATGGGACAGGATACTGGAGAGAAGAGATCTGTGCAAAGGAGAACTCCTGTACCTCTCCCTCCTTAGTCTTGATTAAGGGCCAGGTTGCATGTGCACAGGTTGAGGCCCTTCAAAGCACAGCAGCAGGCTTTGTTGTCTGGCAGAGAGATAAGCAAAAATATCTTCATATTTATTATATTCATATTTCTTTATTTTCTTTGATTCAGTTTGTGCTATTTCCTTATAATCTGCTTTTTAAGTTCGCTAAATTTTTCTTCAGTTTCTAAGTTACTGTTATTCAATCCATGAATATTTTCATTTTAGATATTGTAGTTTTCAGCTCTAATATTCCTGGTTGTTGTTGTTGTTTTAATAGTCTGTCTTTCTTCCTTCCCTCCACCCTTCAGACAGGGTCTTCCTTCCAGCCCAGGCCGGAGTGCAGTGGCATGATCATGGCTCACTGCAGCCTCAGCCTCCCAGGTTCAAGCAGTCCTCCCATCTCAGCCTCCTGAGTATGTGCACGCCACCATGCCTGGCTTTTTTTTTTTTTTTTTTTTTGGGTAGAGACTGGATTTTGCCATGTTGCCCAGGCTGGACTGAACTCCTGGGCTCAAGCAGTCCTTCCACCTTGGCCTCCCAAGGTGCTGGGATTACAAGCATGAGCCACTGTGCCCAGCCTCTGTTTTTATTTTTTTCTACCACTATTCCTCATTTGTTCATTCATTATGTCCATCTTTTCTTTTAAGTTGTTGAACATATTTATGATAGCGATTTTGAGTTATTTCCTGCTATTTCCAACATTTGGGTCTTTTTAAGATCTTGACTACTTTTTTCCTTAAATATGGGTCACTTTTTCCTGCTTCTTTTCATGCGTAGTAATTTTTTTATTGTATGTAGAATATTGGGCTGATAGATTGTAGGGAGTCCGGGTCATTTGTTTTCTCTACAAGATGTTGACTTTTGTTCTGGTAGACAGTTTTTGCTTTTGCCAATTTTGTTTTTATTTTAGATTATGGTAGATCTATTTTCATGTTTTGCTTAGTCCTAGGATGCAGTCCTAGGGTACATAGAGTATGATCCTTATTCCTAAGGCATGAGTTTACTAGGATCTCAAGTGAAATGCCTGTGTTTCTCGATTTGAAATCCATTGTGGTTTCTTGACTTCTGGCCAGGCCAGAACTCCAGTATCTCCCAGCATTTTGTGGCCTTGGATATTTTTGCTTATCTCTCTGCCAAACAACAAAGTCTGCTGCTGTGTTTTGAAGGGTCTCAACCTGTGCTGCACACATGCAACCTGGCCCTTAATTACGAATAAGGAGGGAAAGGTACAGGATTTGCACAGATCTCTTCTCTCCAGTATCCTGTCCCAAGAATTCCAACTGCTTTAGAAACTCTGAGCTGAAATTTATGCCTTTATGGCTCACTGAGATCCTGCTGTGCTTGTGTTTCATTGTCTTCTTGCCCCTTAGTCCCAAAAGTCTACCCAGGCAGAAAGCTGGGGCAAACATCTGGGCTTACTTTGAGTGTTTCCATTCTATCAAGCGCTACAGTTTTTTACTACTTATTGTCCTATCCAGTGACAATAAACAGTTGCGTCTTATATCTTTCCCATTGTTATAGCTGTAGACCACAGAAGAGTAAGTCTAATAAGTCTATCATATTCAGAAGCCCACTGAACCTATATACAGTATTCATAACTTTTTTTGTAATGCAGAGATAAAATATCTATACTATAAAAATTACATGTAGAAATTTATTTTGGGGTTGCATGTTGTTTTACAGCCTAACTGTGGTACCATTTCCAGAGATAATTTCTTTATAACCTCTTGTATTAGTTTTTGTTTTCCAATCCATCAGCTATTCCCCATCACCTATTAAAGGATCTGGTCTCTAAGGTCTTTTTATATACGTGACACTGAATTTATGTCTCAGCATGAGGTTGAATTAAAATATATGTGGCATGTTTTCTGCTACACATCATCACTATCATCTGCCATCTGACAGCATAGGAAATTATTTGGCTCCTACACTTATACCTAACATGCAGCTCATTTGAAGAGTGTTGTATTTCTCATTTTTGCAGTGTTGAGTGTTTAATTTGCCTTGACATGTTATGCTGCTTCAATCAAGGTGATTTTTCTTCCTCTTTCTGTATATGTATATTACTCAGTATAATTTTTATCTTAGTATCCCCGTGTACCTCTTCTTTCATTTCTTTTACTTGTATGGAATGGCTTAAAGCCAATTTATTTATCATAGACAAGTACAAGCATTGATATTTTATTGTATTATTGTGTAGTTTTACCACTATATTTTAAAATTGAAGTATGTATTAGTTTACTATAAATTACTTTTTTCTATATATTATGGTTAAGGAATATAGATAGTTTAAATTATATGTATATAGAGATTACATTACTTTAAGTTTATTTCAGTATAAGAATAGGGGCATTACAAAAATACTTAGTATAAAAAGGAAATATTGACCTAGTAGTGTTAAGAAGTGTTGCTTTAAACAAGTTAAAACATACTTATTTTATAGTCTGAATCTGAGCAATTCAATATCTGAACGTTTTGGATCTAATTCTACTGGCTGTATGCAGCTCATGGTCCCTTATTTATTTAATTATTTTGTCTTTTATGATTTTTTTAACCAGAAATTCATATTTCTTGAACTTTTGTCTACAGGAATTTTTTGACTCCTGGCTTGACGGTGCATTTTCTCTGAGGAGGGTATGTGTTTATTTTATCATGTTCCTAGAGGTACTTGTACCAACTGGGAACCATTTAAAAAGAAATTCTCAGCTTGAGTTGTAGCCCCACATGAGCTGCAACACCATATAGCATCTGGCTTGTGATATCAGTTCTCAAGGGGGAGATCGTTTTCTCTTCCTCCCACCACATAGTTGGGAGCAGAAAAGTTATCTTGCCTTTTCCCTTCTTTGAGGTAACTACTTTTCATTGGTCTTTACATTCTGAGTATAGTTTTGGGCAGGGTTTCCAGCTTTCTGTGGGACAGGATCTCCTGTTAGACTCCTAATTCTGGACAGATCTTAGGCTTTGTTTTCTAACTCCTCTGCTGCATCAACCAGTTTACAAGATGAAAGCTTCAGATTGTTGCTAGTGTTCTGTAGATGTCTCCAGAATGAGAGGCTATTTCAGTGCTCCACTGACCTCCCTAGTTTTCTGCTTTCACTTTGTTTTTGGCTTCTAAGCATCACTGACTTTTCAGTGCCATCAGCAAAGCAGTTCAAAGGATGCTTTAGAATATTTTTCCAGCATTTTTAGTTGTTTTTCAGTGGTATGGTTGTTCAGAATATTTTATATGCTACTTTGAAGGAAATGAAGTGTATTTTTGTATGTAATGTAATTATGTTATATATAATGTCATTTTAATGTATGGTTGTTGCTTTTTAAAATTTGCACTTTTGCTCCTGTGGGTATTTTAAAGGTATTTGTGCCATTTTTCTTTCTCTTTTTGTGAATTACCTGTTCACGTCCATTGTCTGTTTTTCTATTGGACTCTGGTGATTTTCAAAAGAATATATAGTACATGGCTTTGGAAAGGGCTGCTTTTCTGAGGAAATGAGTCCCCTAGGAAGATCTGTTTCCTAAGATATGCTTGTCAGACTTTGAGGAAGTTTGATACTGGCGCTATGGTTTAATTTTAGTTCCTTAATTCTTTTGTATTCGTTTTATGTTCTATCTGTGGCCTCTTACTATCTCCTACTTGCTAAATCCAGCAGTCTATTTTAATACCTCATCTTGTTTGATCTATTAGCCCCTTTCTTGAATGCGAAACTGTATGTTGTGTGTGTGTGTGTATATATATATGTATTTTTTTTTTTAAACTAGGGAGAAGTATCTCTTTTCTTGTCTTCCTTCTACTTTTCTGGCTGTTCCTTCTTAGAAAGCCTAACTGGTTCCTCCACCTGAAAGTTATTAAATAGTGGATTTCCTGAAAGCTTTGGCTGCAGTTCTTGTTTCACTCTTCACATTTTGCTAGGTGACCTCTGAGCTTTAGCTACTGTCTGTTCTTTCAGTGATGTCTCCCAAGTCTGTGACTTCAACCTTAGCATCTCTTCAAGTTTCAGACTCGCTGTGTCTCCAGAGATGCACATCCACATGTGGTTAACTTGTAGTTTTTCCATTACTATTTTATTGAAAAATCATTATAGTGGTAAGTGAAGCTTAGTAAGATTTGACAAAAAATTGATTAGATAAAGGGAAATTGAACTGTGCAGTAGTTTTGCCCAAAAGATGAAGCTTCTGCCATAGAGTTACATTATAGCTCAGTGGGTGCCCGTTACTCTGAAATATTACTAAAATGTATGACAATACTATTTGGCCCAAAAAGTATGGCAAATAGGAATTCATGTTTTTATTGCATTTGACACTAGTCATTTTGCATTTCTTCCACTTTAATGATGCTGCCCTTTAGTACTAAATATTCTTTTTTCATCCTTACATTCCAGCATCTTACAATATTTTCCCTTTTCATTTTCTTTATTCTCATGTTACTGTATTTTTTTTTTTTTAAGATGGAGTTTGGCTCTTGTTGCCCAGGCTGGAGTGCAATGGTGCAATCTCAACTCACCACAACCTCCGCCTCCCAGGTTCAAGCGATTCTCCTGCCTCAGCCTCCCGAGTAGCTGAGATTACAGACATGCACCACCATGGCTGGCTAATTTTGTATTTTTAGTAGAGACAGGGCTTCTCCATGTTGGTCAGGCTGGTCTTGAACTCCCAACCTCAGGTGATCCGCCTGCCTTGGCCTCCCAAAGTGCTGGGATTACAGGCGTGAGCCACCGTGCCCAGCCTTTTACTCTGTTTTTTAATAATACAAGGTGAAGGTGACTGATTTGCTAATTCATTTTTTTGTTTGTTTGTTTCTTTGTTGAGATAGGGTCTCGCCTTTTTGCCCAGGCTGGAGTGCAGTGGTGTGATCATGGCTCACTGCAGCCTCAACCTACTGGGCTCAAGCGATCTGCCCACCTCTGCCTCCCAAAGTTGTTGAGATTATAGGAGTGAGCCACTGTGCTTGACCTATAATTAATTTTTTGTTTGTTCGTTTCATTTATATTATCCACAGTAATATAAATAGGGTCACAGTGGTTGGTGACTGAGTGGTATGAGCAGACTGATAGATGCACCTGGAGTATCAGTTACAGTGACCGATCTGTGACATGGCATGAAGGCTAGAGATCAGGAATCTACTCCCAAATAGACAGGAAGCTGAGATGACTTCATGGGTTTAGGAGAGTTGACTTCCAGTAAGCATGATGTTTTAAAGCCCAAAATATAGTGACTTTTTCAATAGTGCTTTTTCCATTTCTTTGAGCCAACCAGGTATTATACCAGTAAACACTGTGAATGCAATGATAAATGTAGAACTTATTGGAAGAGATTTGGAAACTAGGGTTGGGTCAAAATGACCTTGAAGAGATGAGTTGAGTTTGAGATTACAAGAAAACATAAAAGTGGGAATAATTTGTGAGTGATCAGAGTAAAGAAAGTAGTTTGTATATAGGAAGTTGATTAATTTTTCAAAAGGGAGTTGGTAGACAAATATAAGTATAGATCTTGGTGACTCTAGAAAGGTACTGAGAACAAGATAGGAAAATTATATCAGTAAGGTAGAAAGAAAACCACTTTAATATTCTGAAAACCAGATGAAAGAACAGTCCCTAGAATATAGGAATAGTCAGCAAATTCCCAGTACTTAAAACTGTACTACACAAAGATAGTCTACTTTATCATTTCCTTTATCTGCAAATTTTCTGATAGAATTTATATGAACTAAGTTACCCTGCAATTTGATTTTTAGGGACTCCAAGGGGTGAAGCAGAAAAATATTAAATATTTAGACAGTGAACTACATACAGGAAGAAATGCATGGCATCTGCAACAAAGCAAATTAATTTACTAATATCTAATCAAAATGGAACAGTAGGAGATGGTCAAGAAAATTCCAGTATAAAAGGAATGGAAAATAGAAATTAATTATAGAGCATTCATAAGATATATATATTGTATCATTATTGGGCTATTTAGTTTGATCTCTTTAGCATTCTTGTAAAGAGAAAAATATTTTAAGCTTCTTCTGCTATTTATTTTTGCTCTCGCTCCCCCCACCCCCACCCCCCAGTTCATGAGGGCTTCAATTCATCTACCATGAATTGTCTTAACACTAGTGGAGAAATTTCACCTACCATTTATATATGGAGGTTTATAATTAACAAAACATTTTAAAATATGTATCTCATTTAAGACCAACAGCAACCAAATGAAGTAAGTGGAAATTATGTTCATCTTCAAAAATGAATTCTTGAAGTATGAAGCTTACTTATAGATGAGGAAACCCAGAGAGATTAGGTGGTTTTATCATGGACCACCATCTGAGTTACAGGCTGAAATCCTGGATTCCCTTTTTTATTAGATTTGAGGTCATGAACAATGTGTACATAAACTTTGAAACTTAGGGGTTTTTTTTTCTACTGTAAGATGAAAGTTTTAAAAATATTACATTGTAAAATATATTTAATATTCTGCTCAGTAGTCTTCGTTTCCATTTTCTTTTCCAAGCCAGCCAACTTGCCTTCCTAAACATGTCCTCTACTTTTCTACTTCGGTGTTATACTCAGGCCATTTATTTGCCTGGCATATTTTCTTTCCCATCTCTGCATCTATTTAAACCTTACTCATTTTTATTTTTATTCTAATGTATTTATTTATTTTAGACGGAATATTTTCTTAAATGGTACTGCTCCTTGCGGAGCAGGGCTGACTCTGAGGCAGGGCTCTCAGAGTCAGCCTAAACCTTACTCATTTTAAAATAACTTTTAAGTACTATGTTGCAGCCAGGCCAACTCCTTTACAAAGTCATCCCTCTCGCTCTCAGTAATTGTGATTGTGTCATTGTTCTGTTTTGTTTTGTTTTTGATTATGTCATTTTTGGAAAAGACATAACACTTTCTATCTTACAGCATTTAACAAAATCTACATTTTATTAGCCATTGCTATACCAGGAAGAACAGTCGTCAGCAACAGTTACCATTTGACCCCAATGGACTGTTTTAAAATATATTTTTAAGTGATATTACAAATAATTTAGAAATATATAAATCAAATCCTGCTTTAAAAACTGCATTGGAAATTAGCAAGAATTTAACAAACTCAAATGTTTCTTGCATGTGTTTCTGGTATGAAGATACTAATTTTCATAATGGGTGATTTCCGTTGAATGCAAGTAATTCTGCATGAATGATCCTGGAACATACCTATTTTGGAAATACTGATTCAGTTTTCAAATACGTTTCTAAGAGGTTCCAGCTTATTGTTCTTGGTGGTTCTTGCATTTACATCCTCAAAATGAAATACTTTTGAAAGTTTTCAGGGCTCGTAATTTTGTTAGAAGGTGGTCATTTTCTTTAGCCTATGACAAAACATTTTCATTTTTAGACATTGATTAGAATGATCAATTTGATTGATTTTTTTCATTTCTATGTTATTTCCTTTCAGTCAGTGCCTTAAGCATTTGTCCACTTATGAGCCATATTTCTTATGTATGGTTTCTTATGTAAATTTCTTAGTACAAACCTCATAAAAGGTAAAATACTGTCACGTGTTCTTTTAGTAAAAATTTTTGTCCAAAAATGTTGCATGATGACATCCTGTAGAATGACTAACTGGGTAACAAATTTCCTTTTTGTCCTTAGAAATAATATTGTTTACTCATTGATTCAGTGAATATTTATTTATTTGTCTTATATAAAGGCTCATACTCTGAGATTTAGTTTATACAATTACATCATTATAATTAGAGTCTAGAGTACTGCTAGGTATCTTTTTGTATTTATGCTCTTATTCATCTTCTCTCTGCCATTATGGACAGAAATGAAAATTTCTGAATTCTCAGCTGTGTTCAATGTAAGGTTAAAAAGAAAAAGATTATAAAAAACACTGTCCCAATGTCTTTGGTACATTCTTGGAAGATCAGGCAATACTTTAAGCAAGGCCGAGAAGGGCGGATCACTTGAGGTCAGGAGTTCAAGACCAGCCTGGCCAACATGGTAAAAACCCATCTCTACTAAAAATACAAAAATTAGCTGGGCATGGTGGCGCATGCCTGTAGTCCCAGCTACTCGAGAGGCTGAGGCACAAGAATTGCTTGAACCTGGGAGGCTGAAGTTGCAGTGAGCCGAGATTGCGCCACTGCACTCCAGCCTGGGCGACAGAGCAAGACTCCATCTCGGGGGGGGGGGGGAAAAAAAGGTAAAGTAAAGGATAATAAAACAGCGATGATTTCTCTATTTTATCATCACTTGCTGGGCACAGTGGCACATGTCTACTTGAAAGAATCATTTGAGGCCAGGTGTTTGAGGCTGCACTGTGCTACAGTCATGCCTATGAATAACCCCTGCAGTCCAGCCTGGGCAACATAGTGAGACTCAGTCTTAAAATTTTTTTTTTTCAGAATTCTATTTTTCAATACGTCTTATTAAATATAATAGTTATAATAATTATTATATTATAATTATTTTATCTTTTAGTGTAGTTGGAAATAGGTCCCAATACTATGAAAGATCAAAATGTTTCAAGATATAGGAAAAACAAAAGCACTGAGAAGAAACAAAAAAACTAAAATTGGGTCCAATAATTCAGTGTTAAAGCTAGTTGGTGAAATAGAAGACTCTGTGCCTAAAAGTGCTTATAAATGTTTCTTGCATCTTATGTAGTGGCTCTGTGGTGCATATTTACTGTATGTTAAAGGATAATTTTCAAAAAAGGCAGCATTATGATTTTTATGCAAATATCAGATGAATAAGTGTTAAAGAATTTATTGAACACAGTTAAGTGAGAGAACCAAATGTTGTAACTTGTTCAAAGGAGAATCAAAGAATAGACATATTTGTAGATCAAGTATATTGACATGAATATGCAAATGAAGCCAAAACTGGCTTTTTCCACAGTGGGGAAGGGAAATCAGTTGACTCTCCACTCTCCAGGATAGAATTTGCCCCTCTGTAAAGAAAAATGATGTTGTATTTCTATCAGTTATCAGTCATGGAAAGAGCTATAAAATAACCCTCTTAGAATCAGAATCAGATAATCCAGAAGCTGGGTTCCAGATGTTTTCCACTGAAGCACAGCTTTCCCCCGCACATATATTGCATTCATTCAAATTACATGTCAAACACATAAAGAGAACTTTACATTCAGAGTGGTAAATAGCACTGCCATTTGTAGCTATTGTATTTTTAAATGTTTATTTTCTGAAATAAATATATTTTTTGAATAAAAGGCTCAAGTATTGCCCAAACAAATTTACCTCCTTTTACCACACCAGTCAGGGTATCATTCAATATTTTTTAAAGAAAAATCTAGAAAAAAATATTTAGTGTCTTTGTTTCTCTTGTTCCACTAAGAGAATAAGCCAAGTTCTTCATGGAAAGTTCCTCCAGCCAAATCTAGAGGGTGACCAAAGGAGATGAAAACTCATCATTCAAATACTTAAGGAACTGTACTCATAATAAAGCGATTTTTTTGGCTTACAGAATATGTGCAAATAAATCTGTTAACATGTAGAATCTAGCCCTAATGATTAGAAGTTATTAAGAGTATTTGGACTTGTATAAACAATCTGGTTCTATCTGGGGATTCTCCAGGGATTCAACGGCTCTTCCCATACTTACCTTCAGATTTTACCTCCACCAGTGGCTGTGTATTCACAGGGTCACAGCCTCGAAATGTTCAAATAGGAAGACAAGATCCCTTAAGGGATCAGTGATCAGAGAAAAGATCTGTAGGGATGTCTTAGCAGCTTGACCATCAGGCTTTAGTCATAAAAAGATTATGACATGAAGGGCACCCTCAGTCAGCAAGGAGGAGGAAAGGAAGTAGCCATGAGGCCAAGAACACCATACAAGACTTTATCTTGAGCTCTAATTTTTAAGGTAAGACCTACACAAGAGAAGATAATATCACAGTTTACAGAGGTTATCTGAACATGGTAGCAATTTTCCTTGTTCAGTTTTTACTTACGTACATGGTGAACAGTTGAAGAACTGCTGATTCTTGGCAAAAGGCAATATATAGTCTGTCACTGGAAGAGCAGTTGGGCCAGAGGGAGAAATGGACAGAGGTCATTTACTTCTCATTTATACTTCATCGTTTTCCTCAGCGGTAGCTGGTGCTGGAATGGGAGACCAAACTTATCGATCATTAGAAGCCTTTCCTTTCTGACTTGAGCAAAATGGTTTTAATTCCTTCTCATTGCTGTGTAGCTGTCAAGACAGGTGATGGCTTGGGATAGTCTTCTTTTGGCTCTTGCACATGAATTTGTACTGAGAACACATTTTGGTTAAATCATACCAGGCACTGTGTTCTAAGACCACTGGCCCTCTATAAATGCTTTTAATGCTATTCATATAAACATTGTCAAAATGGAAAGATGATTAATGTTTCTTACTAATTCAATAATGTAATAATAATGCAGGGGGCTGGGGGTATTCTGGCTCACACCTGTAATCCCAGCACTTTGGGAGGCCAAGGTAGGTGGATCACTTGAGCCGAGCCTAGAAGTTCGAGACCAGCCTAGGCAACATAGTGAGACCTCGTCTCCACTAAAAATACAAAAATTAGCCAAGGCATGGCGGCACACACCTGTAGTCCCAGGTACTTGGGAGGCTGAGGCAAGAGGATTGCTTGAGCCCAGGAGCTCTAGGCTGTAGTGAGCTGTGATGGTGCCATTGCACTCCAGTCTGGGTGACACAGCAAGACTCTGTCTCAAAAAATAATAATTAGTTAGTAAGTAGGAAGTGCTAGTAGTTAGTAGTAAGTGCTAGTAATTCAGTAGTCAGTCAGCCATACACCAATAGAGAGGTGTTTTAACATTCTGTCTTCGTAAAAACTCAGATTCTACCAGCATTATTAGTTGCATCAAAGGTAACCCAGTCATAGGTAACTTCAAAGCTTTGAATAACCCAGAAGATATTTACTTTGCTAAAACTAGGGTAACATCTTTTAATCTAGCGCCCTTTTGCCCCTGGCTTGCAAACAACCAGTATAAATTTGAAGCTGTTATCTAATCTTGTATGTACAGTACATCAGTCATGCCACCAAAATTGATTCTTGACTTCTATACGTCTTTCTTTCCTTTGGAATTTCTCATGTTCTCTCTTCCTTCTGTGTTTTAATGAAGAAGTGTATGTGATAAAATGTGAGCTAGTCACTATTTTATAGTCCTTATTTTGTATACCTAAGGTATTTTTAATATGGTGTTAAAATTCTTTTATATATTGTTTGGACATTTACATCTACTTCTCTAGATAACAAATTATTGCCTCACTTATCAGGTAATCATGATGGAATTCTTCTTTTAAAATTTCTTGTGCTCTGGTCAAATGTCCTAATAGTAAGACATTTTACATATATATATATATGTAAAATATGACTTTAGAATGACTTACAAAATAATGTTATATTAATAGATAAAAAGAATGCTGGCTGCAGAACAAAAGCCTAAAAGAAATCATGCGATGAGAAGAAAAAAATATTTATAAGAGTTGACACAAAGCTCTAGTGGAATTGTATTTCTTCAGGCTGAGCTGATGCTTATTTACAGCAGATGTCACACCTCTGACACTGTGAATTTGAAATAGTCTGGTGAAAAAAGCAAGCAGCCCTGATGGTTTTAAGTTTTCGGCAAGGCTGCTCTAATAAATGAACAAACATTTCCAGACTGCATATTATAATCTGATTCTTCCATCTAAGCAAGCACCTAATTTTAACCATTTCAAGATAAGTTAAATATTGAACGTCTTCCCTTCCTTTCATAATTGATAGTAGTACTAACTTTTTAAAACACTTTAACTCAAAGGTCAGTAAGACCAAATAGAGTCAATAAACTGATCTTGCTTCCAACAAGGATGAATGTAAACCTGCAGTTAGGATAGTTAAAACACTACAACAGCAAAAATGCATGTGGCTTTTATTTATTTGTGTATATGTGTGTGTGTTACTCCTGAACTGGACACTCCTTCTTAGTTGTCTTGGGTTCTGAAAGCAGCACTGGCCGAGTACCCACTGCATGTGAGACTGGGTCCTATTTCATAACAAACTGCTTTTACTCCCAGGAAATTGGAAATCATGAAGTTATCTGTGTTTGAGTAATCTTTCTCTCTCTCTCTTTTTTTTAAACTTTTCCATTAGCCAGAACAGACTATCTGTCTGAGATGTTGTTTATCATGTAAGAGAGAGATAACATTTCTATTTGAAATAAAGTTTAAACTTATGACCTAGAATTCATTATTATGCTCCTTCTCAAGTTACAGTACAAAGTAGAAAACTTTCATCAAATGAATATTGTTCCATTGATTTGACACAGAATCTACCAAGTACTTTTAAACATAATGGAATGATATATAAAAATGTCTGGTTTATAGCTATGCCTGATTGAAGTACCCTTATATGAAAAATGCTCCCCTTTGCCCCCATGCCTCCAGTGATTTCTCTCCCCTTCCATGTCTTGTTTGCTTTTAAAACTGCTACATGTTTCATCCCCATTTCTCAGTGATCTGCACCACCATTCATTACATACCCATTCCCCGCATTTTTCCTCTTACCTTCTTGTTTTTATAAGATGATGAAAGGTTTGTGAATAGAGCTATTACTGTATTTTAGCTGGTTTTCAGTATACTTTGGTGCATTTTCACTGATGTTATGAGATAGTTGATGGCATTAATCAGAGAAAGTGTCCAAAAGCTAATAAACCTATGACAATCCAAAAACCAGTCAGGAGAAGATATTAAATGAGATAAAATGTGTAAATCTTAACCATCCAGCTAACTATTCACATACCTTTCATTGGCATCTAATACAAAGTTGTGCACATAGTAGATATTCTTCAATTTTTTTGTCCATTTGGTTTTCATTTGATTCTATGAAAATGATTAAATGAATATTATAAGCAGTTGAATCCACTAGCAGACAATGTGTCTAGTTAATTTCTCATCATATAATCAGATGATAAAAGAGGTTAGAACAGTAGTTGATAATTTTTTTTAAAAATTAGTTAAGTTGGTCTGAACACTGAGCTTTAGGGGAGACATAGAGTATTCATTTCCACTGCCAGCAGTTCAGAGTTTGAATTTACTTTGGTTCCATGAGACCACAGGCTGATCCCTGCTTGTTACGCTGAATAGTACTGGACAATACAGAGCCTTCCAAACACACGATTTATTATGCAACAGAAAGAACCAAATGGCAATTATACTAACTGAATTTTGCTTTTTATTTGATAATACTGAGCACCTACCCATAGGGTGGTCTGATTAAATAGGTTTAAATACTATCTTTTATGGACTTCCTTTTCTTTAGGTATGGAAAACAGTGAGCAGTAGTTATCTTATTAATGGCATTATTTTAAGCACAATGTAGTTTAGATATTAGGGTTTTGAAAAATAACATACTTAATCATTTTTATAAAAAGCAGAGATCTTATTATATTTATACTGACAAGAAAGTAATTTTCTATTTAAATGCCAACAGAGGCCGCATGCAGTGGCTCACACCTGTAATCCCAGCACTTTGGGAGGCCGAGGCAGGCAGATCACTTGAGGCCAGGAGTTTGAGACCAGCCTGGCCAACATAGTGAAACCCTGACTCTACTAAAAATACAAAAAATTAGCTGGGTGTGGTGGTGCACACCTATAATCCCAGCTACACAGGAAGCTGAGGCATGAGAATCATTTGAACCTGGGAGGTGGAGGTTGCAGTGAGCCAAGATTGTGCCACTGCACTCCAGCCTGGGCAACACAGTGAGACCCTGTCTCAAAAAGCAAAACAAAACAAACAAAAAAACAGAATTTGGCCATGGAGAGAAACGTTTGCAAGAGCATGTCCATACTAAACAAATTTATATGCTGTTCAAAATTATTTTAGATGTAGGCAATAGAAGATGGAGAATTAAAAGAGTTATTATGGGAAATCAGTAATTGTTAATTGGTAATGATGGTGAAATTTAGGGAAAGTAGCTATTGATTAAGGAGCTGTAAATTTGCTGGGTGCAGTGGCTCACGCCTCTAATCCCAGCACTTTGGAGAACCAAGGTGGGAGGATTACTTGAGCCCAGGAGTTCAAGACCAGACTGGGTAACAAAGTGACAGCCCGTCTCTACAAAAAATTTAAAAAAAAAAATTAGCCAAGCATGTTGGCACACACCTGTAGTCCCAGCTACTGAGGGATGCTGAGCCCTGATTATGCCACTGTAGTCCAGCCTGGATAACAGAGCAAGACCCTGTCTCAAAAAAAAAAAAAAGCTGTAAGTTATCATCCATTTTGATGACACAAGTATACATTGAACCTGTTCTTGATTGATAAATTATAAATTGAACAGAGAAACCATATCTGAAGTTAAACTCAGTAGGTTTTTGCAGTGTGTGCCTTCCAGGGATCAGTGATGGTAAAAGGTTGAGGAGCTTTTCTGCCATCACAACCAGAAATTTCAAGGATCCATTCTCAATAAGGAAATAAGAGATATATACACACACTTCTTCCCTCCCTTGCTTACTCCCTTATTTCCTTCTCTTTCCCTTCCTCCTTCCCTCCTTCCACCCCTCCCCTCTTCCTTTCTGAGGCATGAGTGAGTAACCTGTTGAAAACTGTTTTGAGAGATTTATTCTCTTTTGAACCACATTCCTTATAGTGGGAAATATTGTCAGTGCGACACTTGAGTTTGTTAATAGCTGTAGTTCTCAAGTAGCTGCACATCACCATCTCCTGGGAAACTTTAAAAAGTACTGATGCTTAGGGCATCATCCTCAAAGATTCTGGTTTAATTGGTCTAGAGTAGGACCAAGGCATTAGTATTTTTTGAAAGCTTTCAAAATGATTCTGAGTCACTGGTAGACAGGCTCACTGTCAGATGACTAACAATAATAATGAAGGTCAATTACACAATGGCAATGGGGTTTTATAATTATAATTGCTCTTTTTTAATTACACAAATAATATATCAGTTCTTTCTTGTTATTTAAAAAAGAAACTATACAAAAATTTACAGAGTAAAAGTGAAATGCCAGCCAGGCAAGGTGGCTAATGCCTGTAATCCTAGCACATTGGGAGGCCAAGATGGGAGGGACTGCTTGAGCCCAGGAGTTAGACACCAGCTTGGGCAACATGGCAAAACTCTATCTCTATCAATAAAACCACACACACACACACACACACACACACACACACACACACACACACACACTGGTGGTGTATACCTGTAGTCTCAGCTGCTAGAGAGTCTGAGGTAGAGGATGATTGGGTTTGGGAGGTCCGGGCTGCAGTGAGCCCTTATCACGCCACTGCACTCCAGCCTGGGCAACAGAGCTAGACCTTATCTCAAGAAAAATAAAA